>NC_000001.11:241941697-242093212 GCF_000001405.40 Homo sapiens
CATCTCTATTAAAAATACCAAAATTAGCTGGGCGTGGTGGTGCGTGCCTATAATCCCAGCTACTCAGAAGGCTGAGGCACGAGAATCGCTTGAACCCGGGAGATTGCCGAGATTGCACCACTGTACTTAAGCCTGGGCAACAGAGCAAGACTCTGTCTCAAAAAAAAAAAAAAAAAGAAAAAAAAATCCCTAGTCATGTCTTTTTCCCATCTTCCTACTAAGTTATAGATTTTTCTAATTGACTTGTAGGACTTCATTATATATTTTGATACTAATCTTTTAATTATGTATGTGTTTGCAAGGATACCCTATGCTGATGATGATGTCACAATTTAATAAAAGTTTTTGAGAGCAGCTATGAACACAGAACATTTCTTTCCTTCTTTTTTCTTTTCCTTTCTTTCTTTTTTTTTTTTTTTTTTGAGATGGAGTCTCACTCTATCACCCAGGCTGGAGTGCAGTGGTGTGATATTGGCTCACTGCAACCTCCACCTCCCGGGTTCAAGCAGTTCTCCTGCCTCAGCCTCCCAAGTAGCTGGGACTACAGGCATGTGGCACCACGCCCGGCTAATTTTTGTATTTTTATTAGAGACTGAGTTTCGCCACGTTGGCCAGGCTGGTCTCGAACTCCTGACTACAAGTGACCTGCCCGCCTCAGCCTCCCAAAATGCTGGGATTATAGGCGTGAACCTCTGTGCCTAGCCAACACAGAGCATTTCAACAGAAATGTATTGCTTTTATAAACTCTCTTGCTGGATACTTACCCAAGAAAATATATACATAGATACACACAAAGGAATACGTACAAACCTAAATATACAAAAAAATTAAAAAGAGCATAACACACAAACATCATGTAGTTATTTTTGTAACCAACCAGGCAAACATTACTCACCCATCACATAGTTATTAGATTGAAAAAGATCACTACAATTATGTGGCAATAGCAGAGGAAGCTCCTTTTGGCAAAACTAGTTTAAGCATTCACTCTTAGGCATAGAAACTATAATAAATATTTATTAAATAAAAATATATTTTTTGAAGTTTTATTTTTTCATCAGGAAGAAAAATCACACCCCTTACCATTTTTTTTTTTTAGAGTGGCCAAATTCATATAACTGTGGCTAGAGGGGAGATAGAAAATGTTTTAAAATAAAGCAACCACTAGTCAGCTGGGCGTGGCACGTGCCTGTAGTCCCAGCTACTTGGGAGGCTGAGGCAGGCGGATCACTTGGACCCAGGATGAGGCTGCAGTGAGCTATAATTGTGTCACTGCACTCTAGGCTGGTTGACAAAACGAGCCTATCTCAAAACAAACAAAAAGCCTAGACAATATAGGGAGATCCCATCCCTACAAAAATATTTTAAAAAATTAGTGAGGTGTGGTAGCATGCACCTGTAGTCTCAACTACTTGGGAGCTGAGATGGGAGAAGTGTTTGAGCCCAGGAGTTCAAGGATGCAGTGAGCTGTGATCACACCACTGCATTCCAGCCTGGGTGACAGAGGGATACCTTGTCTCAAAAAAATAAAAATTGAAAATTAAAAAATAGAGGCCGGACGCGGTGGCTCACACCTGTAATACCAGCACTTTGGGAAGCAAAGGCAGGTGGATCACCTGAGGTTGGGAGTTTGAGACCAGCCTGACAAACATGGAGAAACCCTGTCTCTACTAAAAATACAAAAATTAGCTGGGCATTGTGGCACATGCCTGTAATCCCAGCTACTCAGGAGGCTGAGGCAGGAGAATCACTTGAACCCGGGAGGCGGAGGTTGCAGGGAGCTGAGATCGCACCACTGCACTCCAGCCTGGGCAATGAGAGTGAAACTCCGTCTCAAACAAAAAAAAAAACCCTAAAAAATAGAAAAAAACAAGAACCACTAGTGACATCATGACATAGTCAGAAAAATATGGGCTGGGTGCGGTGGCTCACGCCTGTAATCCCAGCACTCTGGGAGGCTGAGGTGGGCAGATCACGAGGTCAGGAGGTGGAGACCATCTTGGCTAACACGGTGAAACCCCGTATCTACTAAAAATACAAAAAATTAGCCGGGTGTGGTGGCGGGCACCTGTAGTCCCAGCTACTTGGGAGGCTGAGGCAGGAGAATGGCGTGAACCTGGGAGGCAGAGCTTGGAGTGAGCCAAGATCACGCCACTGTACTCCAGCCTGGGCGACAGAGCGAGACTGTGTCTCAAAAAAAAAAAAAAAAAAAAAAAAAAAAAAAAGAAAAGAAAAATATGAATGCTTCAGGTTTAGCATTTCATTCATTCAATTATTATTTAATGGGAAACCTATTATCTATTAGGTACTATGATTAAGCATCCACAGAGGACAGGTGATTGAAAATTTTAATCCTGTACTCAAATAGGACTCTCAAGGAAAAATCATGTGTTTTTGATAACATTCCTCACCGAAATCCCGCTAAGCAAATTTATATAGGATGTGATCTAAGATTGGTGCTGGTCAGGACATCAGAGTAGAAAAAGAACTACTTGATGAGTGAGCTTTTCAAAATATCCTTAAGTCAAAAGACACCCCAAGAAATGACAGAGGAAGAAAAAGACTGAAAGCACTTTTCGGGGCATTTTGTCTAAAGACTTGTGTTGGATTTGGCAAGCGAGTATCATTACCTTGCAGCAGAGGAGTGAGTCTGCCCAATGCTCAGTGATCTCTCAGAAATAAACCAGAGAGGTCACAAAGACTCAGGATTGGGAAGATATCAAAAATTTTTCTTGGCTGGGTGTGGTGGCTCAAGCCTGTAATCCCAACATCTTTGGGAGGCCGAGGTGGGAGGATGGCTTGAGCGCAGGAGTTTGAGGTTATAGTGAGCCATGATCACACTGTTGCACTCCAGTCTGGACGACAGAGCAAGACCCTGTCTCTAAAACAAACAAACAAACAAACAAACAAAAATGATTTCTTACCATCTCTAGATCTCCCACTGTTTCAAATTCAGCTCGGCATGTGTCAGCACTGGTTGGGGAGACTGAGGACCCCCAGCCTGAAACTGCTGGTTTGTACATTTATGAGCCCCAGGAGGTACAGAAGCACTGAAGTAGGCTTTTATTGAATATGAATTTCCTCTATATTAAGGATTAAACACTTTGCTAAATTGTGGAATTCTGAATCCTCAGAGTGAGTTTCTGATGAAAGAAAATTACAAAATAATAATAGAGTAAAACGAACTTGCGTCTCAGCAGTCCAAACCAGCTGTGGAAGCTAAAGCAACTCCATCGTGGATGCTAATCCGCCACGTTGACTTCTGATTAACTCTCGTTCCGGGAATGCCTCTACGATTTCTACTTTCACTTTCACATACTTCAGGTAAATCTTACCCTTACGCAAACTCCCGATGCAGAGCCCTGGGTCTGGAGGTAAGCGTGGAGTTCCACCATCTTATCTTGCAAACACCTGAGGCATCATTTCTGTTTGTAAGTGCCTACTAAATGTTTCTTTCCCAGAAACTGCATTTGTCAGCCTCTTTTTTTTTTTTTTTTTTTGAGACGGAGCCTCGCTCTGTCGCCCAGGCTGGAGTGCAGGGGCGCGATCTCGGCTCACTCCAAGTTCCGCCTCCCGGGTTCACGCCACTCTCCTGCCTCAGCCTCCCGAGTAGCTGGGACTACAGGCGCCCACCACCATGCCCGGCTAATTTTTTGTATTTTTAGTAGAGACGGGGTTTCACTGTGTTAGCCAGGATGGTCTTGATCTCCTGACCTCGTGATCCGCCCGCCTCGGCCTCCCAAAGTGCTGGGATTACAGGCGTGAGCCACCGCGCCTGGCCATTGTCAGCCTGTTTCTTTGGCTTCTCAGCTTCCTTGGCCTTTGGGGGCAGATTTGCATAGACCTGCTCACTATTGAGCACCAACTTCCATTACCGTTTATTCAGTGAACCAGCCAATCTTGGTAAATTCTGTTTTAGGATGACAGAGCTAATTGCAAAATATCAGAAAGAGATAAAACATGAATGCTTGCTTACCTTATGTTAGTTTTCCACCCAGAGAACACTGGTGGAAAAAATCGTGGTTCATCTGTAATAAGCACTATGAGAAGTGCTTACTACAGCAATGACTGAGAAGATTCCAGTCATTGTTAAAGAAAAATAAAACTCATTTATATTAAAGGATATCTCTGTGTGTACACAGATATATAACAGCAGAGAAAGGAAAAGGCTAGAGAAAAGAGAACAAGAACATTTGCAAGTGGTTGCCTCTTGGGGGCTGTTACTGTCTTCCATTTCTTTTTTTGTTTGTTTTTTGTTTTTGCCCAGGCTGGAGTGCAGTGGCGCGATCTCGGCTCACTGCAAGCTCTGCCTGCCGGGTTCATGCCATTCTCCTGCCTCAGCCTCCTGAGTAGCTGGGACTGCAGGCACCCGCCACCACGCCCAGCTAATTTTTTTTTTTAGTAGAAATGGGGTTTCACCGTGTTAGCCAGGATGGTCTTGATCTCCTGACCTCGTGATCTGCCCGCCTAGGCCTCCCAAAGTGCTGAGATTACAGGCGTGAGCCACTGCGCCTGGCCCTGTCTTCCATTTCTTTAGAAGTGCTTCAATCTAGGCTGGGTGCAGCGGCTCACACCTGTAATCCTAGCACTTTGGGAGGCCAAGGCAGGAGGATCACAAAGTCAGAAGTTCGAGACCAGCCTGACCAACATGGTGAAACCTCGTCTCTACTAAAAATACAAAAATTAGCTGGGTGTGGTGGCATGTGTCTGTAGTCTCAGCTACTCAGGAGGCTAAGGCAGGAGAATCGCTTGAACCCGGGAAGCAGAGGTCACATTGAGCCGAGATGGCGCCATACTGCACTCCAGCCTGGGCGACAGAGAGAGACTCCATCTCAAAACAAAAAAAAAAAAAAAGAAAAAAAAGTGCTTGAATCTTCTGCAGGAGCAAATCTTCATATATGGCTTATATGACACAATTAAGGCAACATTTTAAAAGAAAAGTCTAGATGGATTTCAGCAGTTAATAGCAAAATTATACTTGCCTTTCATAGTTGATACAAGGAGGCACGCATTCATTCATTCACATGTATTCATTCAAGTCACTCATTGTCAAGCTCATAAGAGGCCAGGCATAAAGGCCTGAGCAATGAATAAGACAAATGCAGTCCCTGGCTTGACGGAGCTCACATCCTAATGGAAAGACAGATGATAAACAGCTGAACAACAGCTAGCCACAGATGGTGACCAGTTTGGTAAAGGTACTCAAACAGAGAGTACCTCAGAAGACCCACTTAAACAGAATGGTCAGTTAAAGCCCCCTCGAGCAAGTGAAGTTTCAGCTGGGGCCTGAAGGGTGAGAAAGAGCCAATTGTGCTTGAAGAGCTTTCCAGGAAAAGGAAGAGACAGACTCAAAGAGAGATCTCCGTATGTTCTAGAGAGGAGAAGAAACTCCCAAATTGTGCACAGCTAAGAACAAACATTTTGAGCTACCAACCTGTGTGACTGGGTAGGCTGGGTGAATTCTCAAGGCACCAGAGCAGCAGGGCACTGGTAGAGGTTGACCCTTCCTTCACTCCCTGACCTACCAGAGAAGTTTCTCAGGAGGCTCCAGGGCCACGTTCCACTGCCCAAGGGGCCAGGCTGACCCTGATGTGGTAAATATGAAAAACCGAAAAATTACTCAGGATCTTTGAAAAAATATATTTGAACTACCTTTTCCGGCTGACTCCATGAAGGTCTGCTGTTCTTCCCAAACCAATTCCCAAACTGTCTTTCCATCCCGTTAGCTGTTTTTCCCTTTCCTACTTTCCGGTGTTAAGGGATTAGTAAGCCCTGCAGTGCTTCTCCATGCCAGAGCATCATTTTTCATCCCCGAGAGTCCCACACAAACACCTGCAAGGTTGACTCATGAAAGGACAGGAGCCAGGGCTTTCTGGCAGACGAGTGCAGGAGTGTGAGACAAGGTCATAGTTGTTTTTACTCTCACCAAAGCTATTGGCAGCAGCCTGATCGTCTTCACTCTGGGATGCTGGTCTGTCACTAACTACACTATGTATGTGAAAGTACATAGGGAAAGAAGGAGCTCTCAGCAGCTGACCATTTGCATCCTGGGGGCATCTGAGGCTGATTTGTTGATGTAGAACTCCTATTATGAGATCTGTTCAGCAGGAGGGTCTGATTTTTTTTTTTTTTTTTTTTTTGGAGACAGAGTTTTGCTCTGTCACCCAGGCTGGAGTACAGTGTCTCGATCTCGGCTCACTGCCACCTCTGCCTCCTGGGTTCAAGCAATTCTCCTGCCTCAGCCTCCCGAGTAGCTGGGACTACAGGTGTGCACCACAATGCCTGGCTAATTTTGTGTATTTTTAGTAGAGACTGAGTTTCACTATGTTGGCCAGGCTGGTCTCAAACTCCTGACATCAGGTGATCCACCTGCCTCAGCCTCCCAAAGTGCTGGGATTACAGGCATGAGCCATGTGCCTGGCTGAGAATCATGTACCTAGGGCTACCCCAGTAATACTCAGTTAGCATTTCTCTAAGGTCACTGTTTTATTCTGTCAACTTTTGCTTTACTCATCAAATCCAAGAGTTGTCATGTTCTCCTAGAAAGCACAAAACTTTCAATGTCAAATATACATGAGTTCAAATCCTAGACCCTGAGAGTTCCTGATATTCAGCATTCTGATATCCTTTTGCCTGTTTCAAAATTAAAATGAGAAAATATATGTAAGGTAATTGTATCTATTAGTTAGCCTTTGCTGTGATAATAACCCTCAGTTTTAGTGGTTTATGATCCAAGCATTTATTTCTCAGAGTTTTGCAGGCTGGCATTGGCTGCGCTGGGCTGGGCTCTGGGTGTCTTCTCATTTGGGGAATGAGGCTGAAGGAGCAGCTGCTACACGGAGTATGATACTCTCTTGGAATACAGCAGGACAAGAGGACTAGATGAAAGGTGGCCTTGGAACTAGCATGCTGTCACCTCAGCCTAGTCCATTGTCCAAAATACGTTCCCGTGTAGAGGGAAGGAAGGGTGAACATGTGCTTAATAATACAATTGTCACGTTAAGGCCGGGAACATGTTATGTTAGGTGCTTAACAGCTGTTAGCCTCCACCCCTTCCCCAATGCCTACAGTAGAATTTAATTAACGAATAGTAATGACCATAAGCCAACTCTGTTGCCAGCCCATATCTTTGCTTTAATGACAGTCTAAGTGCCTGCATTCACCTCCCTCAGCTTCCTCACCATTCCCAGATCCATTCCTGAATTCCGATTCCAGACCCTTGCCTCACTTTCCTTTGCAGCACCTCACTTGGCCTTGTGCCCTGAGACCTGGTGATGTCCACACACTTTCCACCGTCATGGTAACTCTAACAAGCCCCAGGACCACATGGCTTCCTGCTGTTCTAGTTCACCCTGGTCTCTGTTGGCTAGGCTCACTGTGACTTTGTCGATCGAGTGTGGCATCAATCACCAACTTCTTTTTTTTTTTTATTTTTTATTTTACTTTAACTTCCGGGGTACATGTACAGAATGTATTACATAGGTATACATGTGCCATGGTGGTTTGCTGCACCTATTGACCTGTCCTGTAAGTTCCCTCCCCTTGCCCCCAACCCCCCAACAGGCCTGGTGTGTGTTCTTCCCCTCCCTGTGTCCCTGTGTTGTCTTTGTTCACCTCCCACTTATGAGTGAGAACATGCAGTGTTTTGGTTTTCTGTTCCTGCGTTAGTTTTGTTTTTTTGCTTTTTTTTTTTTTTTTTTGAGATGGAGTTTCGCTCTTGTTGCTCATGCTGGAGTGCAGAGGCACAATCTCGGCTCACCACAACCTCTGCCTCCTGGGTTCAAGCGATTCTCCTGCCTCAGCCTCCCAAGTAGCTGGGATTACAGGCGTGCACCACCACTCCCGGCTGATTTTTTGAGTGCAGTCATGGTGCCTAGAAGCCCCTCCATAGGGAGGAAGGGAAAAAAAAGAAAGAATGAAATAGATGTGGAGGATACAAGATGGTTTTCAACAATGTCCTCAAGAGGTGCACAGGCCAGATAGAGTGGCTCACACCTGTAATCCCAGTACTTTGGGAGGCAGAGGTGGGAGGATAGCTTGAGCCCAGGAGTTCAAGGCCTCAGTAAACTCTGATCATGACACTGCACTCCAGCCTAGGTGACAGAGCAAGATCCTGTCTCTAAAAAAATTTTTTTTAATAAAAAAAAAAAAAGGCACACAGTCCAGCAGGTGGGTGGACATACAACAAGTACCATCTGCTGATATCAAGGGACACACATGCAAGTGCATTGGTGAAAGTGGTGTCAACCCAGGGCCAGCGCGGCGGCTCACGCCTGTAATCCCAGCACTTTGGGAGGCCGAGGCGGGCGGATCACGAGGTCAGGAGATCGAGACCATCCTGGCTAACACGGTGAAACCCCGTCTCTACTAAAAATATAAAAAATCAGCCAGGCGTGGTGGCGGGCGCCTGTAGTCCCAGCTACTCAGGAGGCTGAGGCAGGAGAATGGTGTGAACCCGGGAGGCGGAGCTTGCAGTGAGCCGAGATTGCACCATTGCACTCCAGCCTGGGTGACAGAGTGAGACTCCATCTCAAAAAAAAGATAAAAAAGAAAGTGGTGTCAACCTTCACAGGTTTGACTGGCTTGCAAGAAAGTTCCGACCTTCAATTGGCATTAACTCCCAACATTTCAACATTGATTATAAATAGTTAATGATCTGGAATACACACTAATCAAAGATCCATTTGTAGAAATTCTGTGAATCCTTTTACAAATAGATCGTATTTGTTTTATGTGTATAATTTCCCTAAGTTAGCTCTGTTGTAAATTTATATTTTATTTTTATGGCATGGTATTAGCTAGAAATGAGTGCTCTGGGAAGAGAAAGGAGCTCCATGCCTTTAGGCTGAGTGCTTCTAAGCATTAGTCATGGCATGTGGAATCAATCAATCAATTACTAAACACTTACTTTACACCACCCACTCTGCCAAATACTGAGGCGGCAACGTGTATGTGACCTTGCCCACGTTTCTTCCTGTGAGCAACACTTAATCGCTAGCATTAAGCCCATTTCATGGAGGTTAACTAAGCAGACTGTGAGCTTAAATGATTTCCTACATCAGCAGCTGAGTTGGGACAAAAAGTCAGAATCTTGGCTCTTTTGATAGTTTGAGCCTTGAAAAAATAACTCTCGTTCCAGCTTGATCCAATTAACTCATCTACAGTCTTTTGGCAAAGAATCTGAAAGGATACCTGGTTAGTCTGAAACCAAACAAAATAAAACAATGCTTGACATTCCTTTTTAATTTTTTTATTTTTTTGAGATGGAGTCTTGCTCTGTCTCCCAGGCTGGAGTGCAATGGAGTGGCTCACTGCAACCTCCACCTCCCGGGCTCAAGTGATTCTTGTGCCTCAACCTCCTGAGTAGCTGCGATTACAGGCTCCTGCCACCATGCCTGTCTAATTTTTGTATTTTTAGTAGAGACAGGGTTTCATCATGTTGGCCAGGCTGGTCTCGAACTCCTAACCTCAGGTGATCCGCCCGCCTCGGCCTCCCAAAATTCTGGAATTACAGGCATGAGCCACCGCGCCCGGCCTCCTTTCTGACTTTTTTAACATGAACCACAAAGCTGAGCATCCCTGTTTTTAGGAGCATTGTCTTCCCAAGCTGTGTGAGGCGTATCTGGCCTAGGTTTCTGGCCTCTGCAGCAGAAGAAGCTCTTCCTCAGATACCTGACATCCCTCACGCTGAATTCTGTGAAGCCGCAGGCAAAGTCTGCAAAGGTTTGTAAAAGAAACAAGGGATACTCTGAGGCCCAAAAACCAGGGGAGTCTAGAGGTTTTTTAAAATTGTTGTATAAGGCCAGGTGCAGTGTCTCACACCTGTAATCTCAGCATTTTGGGAGGCTGAGGTGGGCGGATCACCTGAGGTCAGGAGTTTGAGACCAGCCTCACCAACATGGTGAGACCCTGTCTTTACTAAAAATACAAAAATTAGCCGGGTGTGGTGGCGCACGCCTGTGGTCCCAGCTACTTGGGAGGCTGACTGAGGAGAATTACTTGCACTCAGGAGGCAGAGGTTGCAGTAGGCTGAGATCACACCACTGCACTCCAGCCTGGGTGACAGAGCAAGACTCTGTCTCAAAAATTAAATAAATAAATAAATAAATAATAAATAAAAATCATCATATGATATCCATTGGCTGGGCGCGGTGCCTCCCACCTATAATCCCAGCACTTTGGAAAGCTGACTTTGGCAGTTGGAGGCAGGAAGTTCACTTGAGCCCAGGAGTTTGAGTCCAGCCTGGGCAACAGAGTGAGACCCCATCTCTAAAAAAAAATTGTAGTATACATAAAATGTACCACTGTAACCAATTTTTTAAGTGTGCAGTTCAGTGGCATTAAGTGCCTTCACATTGTTGTTTAGCCACCCCACTATCTACCCCCAGAACTCTTCATCTTCCCAAACTTCAACTCTGTACCCATTAAACATTAATTCCCACCCTCCCTTCATGCCAGCTCCTGGAAACTTCTGTCCTGCTTTCTGTCTCTGTGAATTTGACAAGGTACCTCATATAAGTGGAATGAGACAGTATTTGTCTTTTTGTGACTGGCATACTTCACTTAGCATAAGGTCCATCAGATTCATCCACCTACTGTTGGTCCATTCATGCATTGATGGGTATGTGGGTTGCTTCCATGTTTTAGATGTTGTGTTTTTGTTAGTTAGTTTGTTTCTTTTTTGAGACAGAGTTTCGCTCTTGTTGCCCAGGCTAGAGTGCAATGGCGCGATCTTGGCTCACTGCAATCTCCGCCTCCCAGGTTCAAGCGATTCTCCTGTCTCAGCCTCCTGAGTAGCTGGGATTACAGGTGCATGCCACCACACCCAGCTAATTTTTGTATTTTTAGTAGAGATGGGGTTTCATCATATTGGTCAGGCTGGTCTCGAACTCCTGACCTCAGGTGATCCACCCACCTCAGCCCCCCAAAGTGCTGGGATTACAGGCGTGAGCCACCGCGCCTTGCCAGATATTGTTGAACAATACTACTATGAGCATGGGAGTACACAGCCCTGAATTACCTTATTTATTTATTTATTATTTTTAAATGTTATTTAATTTTTTTATGCCTAAACTGTAAACAACGTAGCCTTGACTTTTTAATGGAAGCTTTTATTCACATTTTGCAAGCTTCGGAAAAAAACAATTGTTCCAGCCTGGGAAACAGTGAAACCCTGTCTCTTCTAAAAATACAAAAATTAGCTGGGTGTGGTGGCCCACCTGTAATCCCAGCTACTAGGAAACTGAGGGGGGAGAATCACCTGAGCCCTGGAGGTCAAGGCTGCAATGAGCCAAGATCACGCCACTGCACTCCAGCCTGGGCAACAGAGCGACACCCTGTCAAAACAAAAACAAAAACAATTGTTCATATCAAAACTAGATTTTTGGGGGGCTGGGTGTGATGGCTTACATCTGTAATCCCAGTGCTTGGGGAGGCCAAGGTGGGAGGGTTGCTTGAGCCTAGGAGTTTGAGATCACCCTGGGCAACAAAGTGAGACCCCCATCTCTATAAAAAAAAAAAATTTAATTAGCCAGGTGTGGTGGCACGCACCTATAGTCTTAGCTACTCAGGAGACTGAGTCAGGAGGATTACTTGAGCCCAGGAGTTTTAGGTTGCAGTGAGCTATGAGTGTGCCGCTGCACTCCGGCCTGGGTGACACTGGGTAACAGAGACAACACCCTGTTTAAATCAATAAATTAAAAAAAATAGATTTGAGAGTTATTTTAAATGCATAATCTCTTGGCCAGATAAGGAGGGAGAGCCAGTGGGTCAAAATGGAAGCTCAGAGATCTAGAAGAATCTAAAGCAGCTATTCTCTGGAATCCAAATAAGAATATCTCCCCTCCTCTCCTCTCCCCTCCCCTCCCCTCCCTTCTCTTTTCTGAGACTTTATTTTGAGACAGGGTCTCACTCTATGACCCAGGCCAGAGTGCAGTGGCACGATTCCACCTCACCTCAAGGCAGTCTTGACCTCCGGGCTCAAGCAGTCCTCCCACCTCAGCCTTGCAAGTAGTTGGGACTACAGGTCTGTGCCACCACACCCAGCTAATATGTTTGTTGTATTTTTTGTAGAGACAGGGTTTCACCATGTTGCCCAAGCTCAGTCCTCTTCTTAATCGACTTTTCGTTCTTTTTTTTTTTTTTTTTTTTTTGAGACAGAATCTCGCTCTGTCACCCAGGCTGGAGTGCAGTGAGTGGCACGGTCTTGGCCCACTGCCAGCTCCACCTCCCCATTTCAAACCATTCTCCTGCTTCAGCCTCCGAAGTAGCTGGGATTACAGGCGCCCGCCATGAAGCCCAGCTAATTTTTTGTATTTTTTTAGTAGAGACGGGGTTTCAGCATGTTAGCCAGGATGGTCTCGATCTCCTGACCTCGTGATCCGCCCCCCTCGGCCTCCCAAAGTGCTGGGATTACAGGCGTGAGCCACCGCACCCGGCCGGCTTTTCATTCTTAAACATTGTAAATGGTTGCCATTCTCTCCTCATTAAAAAAAAAAAAAAAAAAAAAAAGAAGGCCGAGCCCGGTGGCTCACGCCTGCAATCCCAGCACCTTGGGAGGCCGAGGTGGGCAGATCATGAGGTCAGGAGTTCGAGACCAGCCTGGCCAACATGGTGAAACCCCGTCTCTACTAAAAATACAAAAATTAGCCAGGTGTGGTGGCGGGCACCTGTAATCCCAGCTACTGAGGAGGCTGAGGCAGAAGAATCACTTGGACCTGGGAGGTGGAGGTTGCAGTGAACCAAGATTACGCCACTGCACTCCAGCCTGGGGGACAAAGTGAGACTCCATCTCAAAAAAAAAAAAAAAAAAAAAAGAGGAAATGTGCAGAGAGGAATTGGAGACAGTGAGTATAGACAAATCCCTCCCAGGGTTTTGTGGCAAAGGAACCCAAGGGAATAAGTGAAGTTTGGAAGGAGAGTTGAGGGTCAAGATAATTCACCTAAGTGCTGGCAACACAGTAGTGCACAAAAACCCTGGCCCACATACACTTCAATCTATAGAATTCTCCCTCTCGGCTCCCCCAACCCCTCAAGAATGAGATCTTGGGCTGGGCGCGGTGGCTCACGCCTGTAATCCCAGCACTTTAGGAGGCCGAGTGGGCGGTGGGGGAGTGGATCACCTGAGGTCAGGAGTTCGAGACCAGCCTGGCCAAAATGGTGAAACCCTGTCTCTACAAAAAATACCAAAATTAGCTGGGCGTGGTGGTGCATAACTGTAATCCCAGCTACTCGGGAGGCTGACACAAGAGAATCTGTTGAACCCAGGAGGCGGAGGTTGCAGTGAGCTGAGATTGTGCCACTGTACTCCAGCCTGGACAGCAAGAGGGAAACTCCTTCAAAAAAAAAAAAATGAGATCTTGGAAACGGAAGGCAGGAATTGATGTCTATGGCCATACCACCCTGAATGCACCCGATCTCGTGATAAGGCAGGAATTGAAGGGGGAAATCTCCAGAAGTAAGAAGGGATTTCCTTTCCAACTGAGAGCAACACTTCATTCAGCTCCACTGATTCCCTTCTTCGAGAAGGACTCTAACATAGATTTTGGAGTATCCTGGAGGCATTATTCAGTTGGATAACCTAGGGTCAGAAAGAATTCCCACTCCCCTTCCCCACTATATTCCCTTAGCCTGTGGCATTGTCCCTCCGGTGACTCCAGCTCAAAAGCCATGTGGCTCAATTTTTGTTTGGTTTTCATGAAAGCATAATTAAAATAAGGCATAGCCATTACCAGAGAATTTACTTTGCCATTCTACTTCCGGAGAATGAATCAGGACTCAGAACTGACCACGGCATTGAAAGCAGTTTCAACCTCATTCTGCTGCTCCTCTACCCTGTAGGGAGAAGTGTCAGGGTGAGGAAAGACAGATTCTGTGAGGATCCCTTCCAACCGTGACCCCAGGGGCTGGGTGCGGTGGCTCACACCTGTAATCCCAGCACTCTGGGATGCCAAGGTGGGCAGAATATTTGAGGCCAGGAGCTCGAGACTAGCCTGGCCAACATGGTGAAACCCTGTCTCCACTGAAAATACAAAAATTAGCCAGTCATGGTGGCATGTGCCTGTAGTCCCAGATACTTGGGAGGCTGAGGCAGGAGAATCACTTGAACCCCGAGGTGGAGTTTGCAGTGAGCCTATAATTGCACCACTGCACTCCAGCCTGGGTGACAGAGGGAGACTCCACCAAAAAGAAAAAGAAAAACAAAACGAAATGAAACAAAAATCAAAGTTAAGTGTGGCCAGGTGTGCAGTGGCTCATGCCTGTAATCCCAGCACTTTAGGAGGCCGAGGCAGGAGGATCACTTGAGGTCAACAGTTCAACCAGCCTGGGCAACATGGCAAAAGCCCAGCTCTACTAAAAATACAAAAATTTGCCGGGCGGGGTGGTACACGCCCTTAGTCCCAGCTACTCAGGAGGCTGAGATAGGACAATCACTTGAACCCTGGACACGAAGGTTACCGTGAGCTGAAATTGTGCCTCTGCACCCCAGCCTGGGTGACAGAGAGAACTCCATCTGAAAAAAAAAAAAAAAGTTTGTCACAAGAGCAGACAGCCTTAAATTGGGGGCCAGGGAAGTTTCTTGGAGAAAATGGCCTCTCTGAAATATTCCTGAATCAATAACAGAAGCATCCTCTGGCAGTTGACTGCAGAACCCCTACCCCTTTTCAGGCCCTTCATTATTCCCTAGAACCTCCAAGTGGGCCAAACATGAGAGGCAACCACAATTGATTAGGAGACAGATCAATCGTTCAAAAAACATAAAACAATAATCTACTGTTCACTGTGGATTTAGCAATTAATCAGCCCTAGAGGATGAGTGACTTGGCCAGGTGGAGAGGGGAAGGAAGAGTGTTCCAGTTAGAGGGAACAATGTTACATGCTGGAAGAACCGAAATGTAACTAGCATGCATGTAGCTAGTAACACAGAGGAGCCCACGGCTCAGGAGAGCAGGAAATGGGGAGAGAAGAAGCCAGAAAGATGGGCCCCGGCCTTGGTGTTAGGTTAAAATGATTGAACGTTCCCTTTTTTTTTTTTTTGAGACGGAGTTTCTCTCTGTCACCTAGGCTGGAGTAAAGTGGTGTGATCTCGGCTCACTGCAACCTCCACCTCCTGGGTTCCAGCAATTCTCCTGCCTCAGCCTCCTGCATAGCTGGGATTACAAACACCCATCACCACATCCGACTAATTTTTGTATTTTTAGTAGAGACGGGGTTTCGTCATGTTGGCCAGGATGGTCTCAAACTCCTGACTTCAGGTGATCCACCCACTTCGGCCTCCCAAAGTGCTGGGATTACAGGCGTGAGCCACCGCACCCAGCCTGAACTTTTCTTTTTTAAAAAATCTGTGTGTGTGTATGTGTGTGTGTGTGTGTGTGTGTGTGTGTGTGTGTGTGTGTGTGTGTGTAAAAGGGGCATGGGGATGAGAGGGTCGGGGTTGGAGACAGGGTCTCACTCTGTTGCCCAGGCAGGAGTGTAGTGGACCATAGCTCACTGCAACCTCAAGCTCTGAAGCAATCCTCCCACCTCACCCTTTTCAGTAGCTGGGACTGTAAGTGGCCACCCCACCTGGCTAATTTTTTCACTTTTTGTAGTGAAGGGGTCTGCTTATCTAGCCCAGGGTATTCTAGGACTACTGGCCTCGAGCGATCCTTCCGCCTCGGCCTCCCAATGTACCGGGATTACAGGCGTGAGCCAACGCCCTCTGCCAAAGCTGATTGGACTCGATCTTAAGGTTAGATAAGGGTGTTAAACATTTTAAGGAGGGCAGTGCCATGATGAGATTTTAGTTTTAGCAAGATTACGCTTAAGGCGTGCCTTGGACATGGTACAGGAGGAAAAGGAGATGATCAGATTTTCCTTTTGGAAATAATCCCTGGTCTGTAAGGAGCTGAAGGAGGTCTACAGGTACCGAAGGAGGGTACCATTGTAGGGTTTTCAGTAGGACAGTGATAAGATGACATGTGCATTTTAAAAGGATCACTCTTCTAGAAAGACCTGAAAAGGTATAAAATGATAAGTAACTGGGAGCCAGAGGAAACTTAGACTCAAGGCGGCAGTCAGGCCCTTAGCCATGTCTTCCATCCGCTTCCTGTGCCAGCGCTGCCACCAGGCCCTGAAGCTGAGCGGCTCCTCGGAGTCTAGGAGCCTCCCTGCAGCCCCGGCGCCCACCTCTGGGCAGGCTGAGCCCGGAGACACCCGGGAGCCCGGCGTCACCACCAGGGAGGTGACAGACGCTGAGGAGCAACAGGACGGTGCCTCTAGCAGATCCCCTCCAGGCGATGGCAGTGTGTCCAAGGGCCATGCCAACATCTTCACCCTGCTGGGGGAGCTTGGCGCCATGCACATGCTCAGTAGCATCCAGAAGGCAGCTGGTGACATTTTTGACATAGTCTCTGGCCAAGCAGTTGTGGACCATCCCCTGTGTGAAGAATGCACCGACAGTCTTTTAGAGCAGCTGGACATCCAGCTCGCTCTCACAGAAGCTGACAGTCAGAACTACCAACGCTGCCTGGAGACCGGGGAGCTGGCGACCAGCGAGGACGAGGCGGCGGCGCTGCGGGCGGAGCTGCGGGACCTGGAGCTGGAGGAGGCCAGGCTGGTGCAGGAGCTGGAGGATGTGGACAGGAACAATGCAAGAGCAGCGGCGGATCTCCAGGCAGCCCAGGCAGAGGCTGCGGAGCTGGACCAGCAGGAGAGGCAGCACTACAGGGACTACAGTGCCTTGAAGCGGCAGCAGCTGGAACTGCTTGATCAGCTGGGGAACGTGGAGAACCAGCTGCAGTATGCCAGGGTCCAGAGGGACCGGCTGAAGGAAATCAACTGTTTCACCGCCACGTTTGAGATCTGGGTGGAGGGCCCCTTGGGCGTCATCAATAACTTCAGGTTGGGCCGCCTCCCCACTGTCCGTGTGGGCTGGAATGAGATTAACACTGCCTGGGGACAGGCGGCCTTGCTGCTCCTTACCCTGGCCAATACAATTGGACTGCAGTTTCAGAGGTATCGACTCATCCCCTGCGGAAACCATTCGTATCTGAAGTCTTTAACAGATGACCGCACTGAGCTGCCGTTGTTCTGTTATGGGGGGCAGGATGTTTTCCTCAATAACAAGTATGACCGCGCGATGGTGGCCTTCCTGGACTGCATGCAGCAGTTCAAGGAAGAGGCTGAGAAGGGTGAGCTGGGCCTCTCTCTGCCCTACGGGATCCAGGTGGAGACAGGCCTGATGGAGGACGTTGGCGGCCGAGGGGAATGCTATTCCATCAGAACCCATCTGAACACGCAGGAGCTGTGGACAAAGGCACTCAAGTTCATGCTTATAAATTTCAAGTGGAGTCTCATCTGGGTTGCCTCAAGGTATCAAAAGTAGCTTTCTTGAGTCTTGCTCTGTCACCCAGGCTGGAGTGCAGTGGCGCCATCTCAGCTCACTGCAACCTCCGCCTCCTGGGTTCAAGCGATTCTCCTGCCTCAGCCTCCTGAGTAGCTGGGATTACAGGCGCCTGCCATCACACATGGCTAATTTTTGTATTTTTAGTAGAGACGGGGTTTTGCCATGTTGACCAGGCTGGCCTTGAACTCCTGACCTCAGGTGATCCACTCGCCTCACGGCCTCCCAAAATGCTGGGATTATAGGCGTCAGTCACCACACCCGACCTTCTTTTTTTTTTCTTTTCTTTTTTTTTTTGAGGCAGAGTCTCACTCTGTGGCCCAGGCTGGAGTGCTGGAGTGCAGGGGAACAATCTTGGCTCATTGCAACCTCCACCTCCTGGGTTCAGGCAATTCTTCTGCCTCAGCCTGCCGAGTAGCTGGGATTACAGGCACGCACCACCACACCCAGCTAATTTTTGTATTTTTAGTAGAGACGGGGTTTTGCCATGTTGGCCAGGCTGGTCTCAACCTCCTGATCTCAGGTGATCCGCCCGCCTTGGACTCCCAAAGTGCTGGGATTACGGGCATGAGCCACCCCGCCCAGCCCACTTTCTTTTTTTCTAAAGTACTATAAATATATTATCAGATAAGTCTTCCCCAACACACCTTTGTCCCTTCTTCCTTGTAACTTCCACTCCCCTTCTCCACCCGAACATTCAAAATGACAGGAAAAATTAAATTACAAGAGGCTAAGATTATTCCTGCATAAAGGGATAAAGGGACACAGAGGCAAGGACTAAGTGTGGGGAGGAAAGGGCACGGTGAGGAGCAAGGTGGAGGTTTCCAATTTTTTAATTTAAAAACATTTTGGGCCATGGATGTATGTAATGGAACATTGAAGTCGGGGGCAGGGGAGAGAATACTCAAAAATTTCGTTTTTGTTGTGATGCATAGTGTAAGCCCCTCCTCTTCATCCTTGAGAAACTTTCAATAAATTTCGACATGTTCAAAGTGAAAGGTGAGTCTTACTGGACTGTGTCATGATGTTGAGATTAACTGTGAGGTGAGGGGCTGGGGTGGCCAGGAAGTGACTGGTAACATTGGCTGGTAGATAAATTAAGGGGTCTTGAGGTGAACCCTTCCAGAAAGCTGAAGATTGAATCCTAGCACTTTGAGAGGTGGAGGAGGGAGAAATGCTTGAGCCCAGGAGTTCTGAGACCAGCCTGGGCAACATAGGGCGACCCCATCTTAAGGAAAAATTTTTAAATTAATTTAATTTTTTTTTTTTTTGAGACAGAGTTTTGCTCTTGTCTCCCAGGCTGGAGTGCAGTGGTGTGATCTCAGCTCACTGCAACCTCTGCCTCCCAGGTTCAGGCAATTCTCCTGCCTCAGCCTCCCTTGTAGCTGGGATTACAGACATCCACCACCACACCCAGCTAATTTTTTTTTTTTTTTTGAGACAGAATCTCACTCTGTCGCCCAGGCTGGAATGCAGTGGCACAATCTCAGCTCACTGAAACCTCTGCCTTCCAGGTTCACGATTCTCCTGCCTCAGCCTCCCGAGTAGCTGGGATTACAGGTGTATGTCACCATGCCCAGCTAATTTTTGTATTATTTTAGTAGAGACGGGGTTTCACCATGTTGGCCAGGCTGGTCTCGAACTCCTGACCTCAGGTGACAGGCCCGACTTGGCCTCCCAAAATGCTGGGATTACAGGTGTGAGCCACCTCGCCTGGCCTACAAAATATTTTTTAAAAATTAGCCGGGCGTGGTGTGGTGTGCACCTGTAGTCCTAGCTACTCTGGAGGCTGAGGTGGGAGGATCCCTTGAGCCTGGGAGGTCCAGGTTGCGGTGAGCTGTGACTGGGCCACTGCACTCGAGCCTGGGCAACATAGTGAGACCCCATCTCTAAAAAATAAAAAGTAAAATAAGCCAATCAGAGAAAGCTTTTAAAATGCAAATTGTATCATGCCTTCCTCCAGCTTCTCCATTGCCCTCATAAAATCTCAAATCCTGACCACACCTTTCAGCCCCAGAAGATCTGTTCCTGCTGCCTCTCCAGGCCCAGATTATACTTCTCCCAGTTCCTTTCTGTGCCAAAATGTGCCAAGCCTATCACTCCACCTTTGCCTGTGCTCTTCCCTGTGTGTCAATGTCTTCTTTTTTATGTATTTATTTTTTTGAGACGGAGTCTCCCTCTGTCACCCAGGCTTGAGTGCAGTGGCTCAATCTAAACTCACTGCAACCTCCGCCTCCTGGGTTCATGTGGTTCTCCTGCCTCAGCCTCCTGAGTAGCTGAGATTACAGGCGCCTGCACCACGCCCGGCTAATACTTGTATTTTTAGTAGAGACGGGGTTTTGCCATTTTGGCCAGGCTGGTCTTGAACTCCTGACCTCAGGTGATCCGTCCGCCTTGGCCTCCCAAAGTGCTGGGATTACAGGCATGAGCCACTGCACTCGGCCTGTGTGTCAATGTCTTCTAACCAAACTATAAACTACTTCTGGAGGGCTAATTTAACTGTCATGCAGATGTACCTAGAATAACCCCTACATATTAAACATTCTATAATGTGTAAAGTACAAATATTAGATTATAAAATATGCAGTTTCAAAACTCAGAGAAGTATTTAGAAGGAAAATGGGCTGGGCGTGGTGGCTCATGCCTGTAATCCCAGCACTTTGGGAGGCCGAGACAGGCGGATCACGAGGTCAGGAGATCAAGACCATCCTGGCTAATACGGTGAAACCCCGTGTCTACTAAAAACATAAAAAATTAGCCGGGCGTGGTGGCGGGTGCCTGTAGTCTCAGCTACTCAGGAGGCTGAGGCAGGAGAATAGTGTGAACCTGGAGGCGGAGCTTGCAGTGAGCCGAGATTGCGCCACTGCACTCCAGCCTGGGCGACAGAGCAAGACTCTGTCTCAAAAAAAAAAAAGGAAAATGTTCCCAATATGTATTCCTTGGATATACATAAAGGCATTTCCATGAAAATTTTTTACTTAAAAATAAGCCAGGGTTGGGCACAGTGGCTCACACCTGTAATTTCAGCACATTGGGAGGCTGAGGTGGGAGGATTGCTTGAAACCAGGAGTTTGAGAACCCCCTGGGCAATATAGTAAGACCTAGTATCTACAAAAAAATTTAAAATGTTAAAAAATTAGCCAGGAGTGGTAGCATGTGCCTGTAGTCTCAGATATTCTGGAGGCTGAAGTGGGAAAATCGCTTAAGCCCAGGAAGTCAAGGTTACAGTGAGGCGTGAGGGTGCCAGTGCACTCCAGCTGGGAAGACAAATAGAGACCCTGTCTCAAAAAAAAAAAAAAAAAGTCAGGTGAGTTGGCACATGCCTGTAGCCCCAGCTACTTGGGAGGCAGATCACTTGAGACCAAGAATTCAAAGCTGTAGTGGGTAATTAATGTGCCTGTGAATAGCATTATAAAAAACTGTACTCCAGTCTGAGCAACACAGTGAGAACCTGTCTCTAAAAAAATTGAAAAACAAATTGAAGCTTTCTGCCTGAGATTAGGAAAGAGACAGGATACTGGCTATCAGCATTTCTATTTAATCATGTCCTAGACCGGATACTGACTATCAGCATTTCTATTTAATAATCCTAGCTAGTGCAATAAATAAAAAATAAAAAGTATAATAATTAGAGGGGAATAAATAAATTGTTATTTGTATATGACATGATCATATAACAATATCCAAAACATCCAAATAAAATGATTAGAATTAATAGATTAATTCGGGAGGCTGAGGCAGGAGAATGGCATGAACCTGGGAGGCAGAGCTTGCAGTGAGCCGAAATCGAGCCACTGTACTCTAGCCTGGGCAACAGAGCAAGACTCCGTCTCAAAAAAAAAAAAAAAGAATTAATAGATTAATTAAGAAAGATATTGGCTACAATGTTAATATAAGAATCAAATGTATTTCTTTTTTTTTTTTTTCAGCACAGAGTTTTGCTCTTGTTGTCCAGGCTGGAATGCAATGGTGCAATCTCGGCTCACTGAAACCTCCGCCTCCCGGGTTCAAGTGATTCTCCTGCCTTAGCCTCCCAAGTAGCTCGGATTACAGGCACCTGCCATCACGCCCGGCTAATTTTTGTATTTTTAGTAGTGATGGAGTTTCCTCATGTTGGCCAGGCTGGTCTCGAACTCCTGACCTCAGGTGATCCACCCGCCTCAGCCTCCC
The DNA here is from genome assembly GCF_000001405.40 of Homo sapiens. Classification (NCBI taxonomy): domain Eukaryota; kingdom Metazoa; phylum Chordata; class Mammalia; order Primates; family Hominidae; genus Homo; species Homo sapiens. The sequence goes on from NC_000001.11 coordinate 241,963,251, forward strand.
AAAATGTTGAGCCACCATGCCCAGCCTCAAATGTATTTCTTTATATAAGCAACAACCAGAAAAAAAAATTAAAATAGCTTAAATTATTTATTTGTTTTTATTTATTTATTTCTTTTTTTGAGACAGAGTCTTGCTTTGCCACCCAGGCTGGACTGCAGTGGTGTTATCTCTCAGGTCATTGCAACCTCCGCCTCCCAGGTTCAAGCGATTCTCCTGCCTCAGCCTCCCAAGTAGCTGGGACTACAGGTGCCCGCCACCACGCCATGTTAACTTTTGTATTTTTAGTAGAGATGGGGTTTCTCCATGTTGGCCAGGCTGGTCTCGAACTCTTGGCCTCAAATCATCCACTCTCCTTGGCCTCCCAAAGTGCTGGGATTCCCAAAGTGCTGGGATTAAAGGCATGAGCCACTGGTGTCTGGCCTAAAATGGCTTACATTACTAAATAACTAAGAATAATCTGACAAAATTAGTGACCAATTGCCTCTAAACAAGGGTTTGGCAAACTTTTTCAAAAAAAGGCCAAATGGTAAAATTTTAGGAATTTGGGTCCATGTGGTCTCTGTTGCAACTACTCAATTGTGCCATTATAGTGTAAAAAGCAGCCATTATATTTACCAAAAGAGGTGGCAGGCTGGATTTGGCCCATGGGTCATAATTTGCTGACTCCTGCTTTAAATGATAGAATCTAAAAGGTCATGGACTCTTGTTTGCAATTAGGTCCCTAACAGCCTGCACAGTGCCTCCTGCAGAGTAGACATTCAATGAATAGTTGAATGAATAAATCACTAAATTATACTGACTGATGGGAATCTGGGAAATTTTATTGTCTTCCTTTGGTTTATTAAATACTCTCTAGTAATTAGTACTAGATTAGGAGTACTTAATTAACAGTATTTACTATTATTAATTTCTTTTATTTTTTTTTTTTTTATTTTTTGAGTTGCAGTCTTGCTCTTGTCGCCCAGGCTGGAGTGCAATGGAACGATCTCGGCTCACTGCAACCTCCACCTCCCGGGTTCAAGCAATTCTCCTGCCTCAGCCTCTCGAGTAGCTGGGATCACATGCATGTGCCCCCACACCTGGGTAATTTTTTTGTATGTTTAGTAGAGATGGGGCTTTACCATGTTGGCCAGGCTGGTCTTGAACTCCTGACCTCAGGTGATCCACCCACCTTGGCCTCCCAAAGTGCTGGGATTACAGGCGTGAGCCACTGTGCCCGGCCTCTTTTATCTTAATAAAATTTTTTTTATTTAAATAAAAGAGATTAAGGGGTGTGAATAGACGCCAAGTTAGGCAGCTGTTACATCATTCTGTTTCATTTTAAAACTATCTACCTTCATCCCCTGCCCCATCCCCAAATTTCTCACATAGGCATACATTTTCCACTGAAATCACTTGAACGGCAGAAACTGCTGGGCCAAGAGATTTTAGGTGCCTGAAGTAAGAGAAGTCAGCAATCAGTTTTACAAAAGAGAAGTTCAGCTGAGGCTGGAGTACTGTGGCGCAATCATGGCTCACTGCAGCCTTGAACTCCTGGGCTCAAGCAATCCTTCCACCTCAGCCTCCAGAGTAGCTAGGACCACAGGCATGCACCGCCGCACCTAACTAATTTTTTATTTTTTATCTTGTACAGACAGGGTCTCCATATATTGCCTAGGCTGGCATCAAACTACTGGCCTCAAGTGATCCTCTGCCTAAGCCTCTCAAAGGGCTGAGATTGCAAGTATAAGCCACCACACCCATGTAGAATTGTATTTCTTAGCACTAGGCCAGATGAGATGACGTGACTAGTTCTGGTCATTGTATTGTAAGCAGAAGTGACGTGTTACTTCCTGGTCAGGGAATTTCATTGTTGATGTAAGACCCTCCAGTGATCTTGTTCCCTTCTGGCATGGTGAAAATACTGGTTACACTGGGTGCGGTGGCTCACGTCTATAATCCCAGCACTTTGGGAGGCCAAGGTGGGCAGATCACCAGAGGTCAAGAGTTCAAGACCAGCCTGGCCAACATAGTGAAATCCTGTCTTTACTAAAAAATACAAAATCAGCCGGGCATGGTGGCACGTGGCTGTAGTTTCAGCTACTCGGGAGGCTGAGGCAGGAGAATCGCTTGAACCCAGGAGGCGGAGGTTGCGGTGAGCCGAGATTGCGCCATTGCACTTCAGCCTGGGCAACAAGAGCAAAACTCCATCTCAAAAAAAAAAAGAAAGAAAAAGAAAATACTGGTTACTTTTTATGGAATAAGTGAATTAAAGAGAAGGGGGATCCCTGATTTTTGGAGGTGGGGAACTGGAGCATTTGATCCCTAGTAGTCTTTCATTTGGTCTTCAAACAGCAACCTGCAATAAGTAACATAAAACTCTTAGATCTCATTAAATATTTCTTTTCATAAAAAAGTTAGTATTAATTTTAATTGAACATGAGATACAGAGGGCATGAATCATTTTTCTGAATTTTTAAAAAAACTTTTATTTGCTTATTTATTTTTGAGAAAGATTTTTCCTCTTGTCGCCCAGGCTGCTATGCAATGGCGTGATCTCGGCTCACCGAAACCTCTGCCTCCTCGGTTCAAGAGATTCTTCTGCCTCAGTCTCCCGAGTAGCTGGGATTACAGGTGCCTGCCACCATGCCCGGTTAATTTTTTAATTTTTTTTTTTTTTTGAGATGGAGTCTTGCTCTGTCATCCAGGCTAGAGTACAGTGCTGCAATTTTGGCTCACTGCAATCTCCGCCTCCTGGATTCAAGCGATTCTCCTGCCTCAGCCTCCTGAGTAGCTGGGATTACAGGTGCCCACCACTGCACATGGCTAACTTCTGTATTTTTAGTAGAGATGGGGTTTCACCATCTTGGCCAGGCTGGTCTCAAACTTCTGACCTTGTGATCCACCCACCTTGACCTCCCAAAGTGCTGGGATTAGAGGCATGAGCCACTGCGCCCAGCCCTAATTTTTTAATTTTTAGTAGACATGGGGTTTCACCATGTTGGCCAGGCTGGTCTTGAACTCCTGACCTCAGGTTATCCACCTGCCTCGGCCTCCCAACGTGCTGAGTTTACAGGCGTGAGCCACCGCGCCCGGCCCTGAGTTTATTTTTTAGATGAGATCGTGGAACATTGACCCTATTTCTCTGGAATCTGCGTCTCTCCCAAATAAAAACTTGTTTTTTGTTTATTTGTTTTGAGACAGCCTCACTTTGTCCCCCAGGCAGGAGTGCAGTGGTGTGATCTCAGTTCTCGGCAACCTCCACCTCTCGGGTTCAAGCGATTCTCCTGCCTCAGCCTCCCGAGTAGCTGGGATTACAGACTCGCGCCACCACACCCAGCTAATTTTTGTGTTTTTAGTAGAGATGGGGTTTCACCTTGTTGGCCAGGCTAGTCTCAAACTCCTGACCTCTGGTGATCCACCCGACTCAGCCTCCCGAAGTGCTGGGATTACAGGCATGAGCCATGGCAACCAGCCCCAAATAAAAACTTTTAAAATGAGATTCTACATTCACTGAGATGAAAATCTAATACATAAACTTTTCGTCATTAAAAGACATATTTCAATGAACATGTTAAAGCATGCTAAGTAATAGAAAAATAGTAAATACAAGGAGCCTCAGTAAACCATCACATAGATTGAACAGTTATTAAGGTTTTTATTTTTTATTTTATTTATTTTATTTTATTTTTTGAGATGGAGTCTTACTCTGTCACCCAGGCTGGAGTGCAGTGTCATGATCTTGGCTCACTGCAACCTCCGCCTCCCGGGTTCAAGAGATTCTCCTACCTCAGCCCCCCAAGTAGCTGGGAGTACAGGAATGCGCCACCACACCTGGCTAATATTTTGTAATTTTAGTAGAGACGGGGTTTCACTGTGTTAGCCAGGATGGTCCAAAAATGTTAAAGGAGAGAAATAGTTGTTAACTTTTTGGTTCAGAGACTCCTTTAAGAATGGGATAATTGGCCGGGTGCGGGGGAAGGTAGATAAAAACCAAAACCATCTTAAATTGTGATGGAGTCGATAAAGAAAACTAACACAACAAACCAGAGGCCAGACGCGGTGGCTCACGCCTGAAATCCCAGCACTTTGGGAGGCCAAGGTGGGCGTATCACCTAAGGTCAGGAGTTCGAGACCTCATCTCCTCTAAAATTACAACAAATTAGTCGGGCGTGGTGGCAGACACATCTAGTCCCAGTTACTTGGGAGGCTGAGGCATGAGAATCACTGGAACCCGAGAGGCAGAGGTTGTAGTGAGAAGAGATTGGGTGATCAAGCAAGACTCCATCTCAAATAACAACAACAAAACAAAACATAGGTTGGGGGGAAAGGAAGAGAATGGAACCAATTTTGTGACTTTTCTTTTTTTCTTTTTTCTTTTCCTTTTCTTTTTCTTTTTCTTTTTCTTTTTTTTTTTGAGACAGGGTCTCACTCTGCGGCCCAGGCTGGAATGCAGTGGCACAATCATAGCTCACTGTAACCTCAAGTGATCCTCCCACTTCAGCCTCCCCAAAGTGCTGGGATTACAGGCAGGCACCACCACATCAGGTCTATTTTGTAACCTTTTATTATGGAGTATTTCAAACATACACAGAAGTTTCTAGAAGGATAATAAATACCCACCATGCGTCTTCAACAGTCTTCAATAAGTAGCTAATTTTGTACTGTCTACAACCCACTAATTTACTCCTCTCCAATTATTTTGAAGCAAATCCATATCATTTCACCCATAAAGATTTTAGTATGGGCTGGGTGTGGTTGTTCACATCTGTAATCTCAGCACTTTGAGAGTCTGAGGCAAGAGGTTCACTTGAGCCCAGGAATTTGAGACCAGCCTGGGCAATATAGCAAGACTCTGTCTCTATTTTTTAAAAAAGATTTTTGTACGTATATTCTAAGACCTAGACACAAAGTCATTATCATACCAGAAACAGAAACAAACTCTTTTTCTAATCAGTGATTGAAATTGCTTTTGATATATTGGCTCAGGAACACCTCTTTAAGGAGGTGGCATTAGATCTGAGACATAGGGCAAGCAAGGCTTCCTAAATTATACGCTGTAAGGACTGGTTTTTCTGTTTTTTCAAATTTCTAATCTGATGTGAAATATGTGAAATGCAATAACAATTACCTCAAGTAAAATTTTAAAACTTATACAGAGCAGATATTACATAACCAACTATGTCCCTGGGCCCAAATCAAGTCTACAGTCTGATTGCTTAGAGCTCCTAAGCTTAGAATGTTTTCACATTTTAATATGGTTGGTACAAAATAAAAAGATTTCATGACATGTAAAAATTACGTGAAATTCAGTCCAGGTGCAGTGGCTCACACCTTTAGCACTTTGGGAGGCTGAGGCAGGAGGATCACTTGAGCCTAGGAATTTGCGGCTGCTATGAGCTGTGGTCACGCCAGTGCACTCAAACCTGGGCTACAGAGCAAGACCCTGTCTCAAAAAAAAAAAAAAAAAATTCAAATATCAGTCATCATGAATAGTTTTATTGGAACATAGCCACACTTGTTCATATTAGGCTCAATTTCATATGTTTCTCACTGCAACAGCAGAGCTGAATATGACAAAGACCATGTGGCCCTCAAGCCTAAAATATTTGCTGTCTGGCATTTTACAGAAAATTATTGTTGACTCATAATAAATCCAAGACCCAATTTTATATTATCATATTCGAGAGACAAAACTACTCTGTCAAATAACTATCGACTTTGCTCTCTTTTTTTTTTTTTTTTGAGAAGGAGTCTTGCTCTGTCACCCAGGCTGGAGTGCAGTGGCATGATCTCCACCTCCCGGGTTCATGCCATTCTCCTGCCTCAACCTTCCGAGTAGCTGGGACTACAGGCATGAGCCACCACACCTGGCTAATTTTTATATTTTTAGTAGAGATGGAGTCTCATGTTGGCCAGGCTGGTCTCAAACTCCTGACCTCAAATGATCCACCCACCTTGGCCTCCCAAAGTGCTGGGATTACAGGCGTAAGCCACCACCCCTGGCCCTAAATTTCTGACTTCATCCACTGTCTTGTCGTTCACCGGTGTCATTTATGATGGGGAAATACTGGCAGAAGAAGAAGACTGGAGATGATGCTCAGGAAGACGCCCAGAGTGCCATTGTGGACCCAGTGTGAACGGTCTGTGAAATTCAGCAGTGAAGCTGCTATGTGGGTAGTTGGCTAGAAGCATGTAGAGATTGGTAGAGAGGAATTTCTCTCATCTAGTCTTAGAGGAGTAAACATACGTCTTTCTAAAGATCACCAGGCTGCTACGATGGCTCACGCCTGTAATCCCAGCACTTTGGGAGGCTGAGGCAGGCGGATCACAAGGTCAGGAGTTCGAGACCAGCCTGGCCAGCATGGTGAAACCCTGTCTCTACTAAAAATAAAAAAACTAGCTGGGCATGGTGGCGCATGCCTGTAGTCCCAGCTACTTGGGAGGCTGAGGCAAGAGAATCACTTGAACCCGGGAGGCGGAGGTTGCAATGAGCTGAGATTGCGCCACTGCACTCCAGCCTGGGCGACAGAGCGAGACTCCATCTCAAAAAAAATAAAATAAAATAAAATAAAATAAAATAAAATAAAATAAAATAAAATAAAGATCACCACCCTCTGCCCCTCACTGCCCCATCACCTTCAACACCCATGGCCACAAATGCAATAAACATTCATTGAAGACCCTCTTTCCATGAGGCAATCTCTGATGAGGTCCAAAAGATGCAAAGATCCCTATCCTTTGCATAGGGATGCAAATCCCCCTGTCTGAGGAATGAATTCCAGGCTTTTAACCATGCATAGCATTATTCTGAGTATTGCAGCTCAGCTAACTCCATTACACATAAATGGAAGCTATGCCCTAGGAGGATGGGAATTGCGTTGGAGGAGGGAAGGGTGTGTGTGTATATATATAATCTTTAGATTAAACTGGAATATAAATAAAAAGTAATAGATGACATTACTTTTTTTTTTTTTTTTTTGAGATAGTCTCGCTCCATAGCCCAGGCTGGTGCAGTGGTGCAATCTCGGCTCACTGCAACTTCTGCCTCCCAGGTTCAAGTAATTCTCCTGTCTTAACCTCCGGAGTAGCTGAGATTACAGGCACATACCACCATGGCCGGCTAATTTTTGTATTTTTAGTAGAGACGAGGTTTCACCTTGGTCAGGCTGGTTGGTCTCAAACTCCTGACCTCAGGAGTTTCCACCAGGCCCCATCTCCAACACAGAGGATCAGATTTCAACATGAGACTTGGCAGGGCCAAATGAACCATATCCAAACCCTAACACCAAGTCAAGACAGAAACAATACCACTCCATAATCATGTCTCAACACAGACAGATACGTGGACATTGTCCAAGCCACAAAAATGACCAGACAGCCCCCATCCTGGCTAGAATGAGTGACTGCTGCTTCTTTTCTTTTTCTTTTTTCTTTTTTTTTTTTTGAGACGGAGTCTCCCTCTGTCGCCCAGGCTGGAGTGCAGTGGCACGATCTCAGCTCACTGCAAGCTCCACCTCCCGGGTTCACGCCATTCTCCCGCCTCAGCCTCCCGAGTAGCTAGGACTACAGGTGCCTGCCACCACGCCCGGCTAATTTTGTGTTTGTATTTTTAGTAGAGACGGGGTTTCACTGTGTTAGCCAGGATGGTCTCGATCTCCTGACCTCATGATCCACCCGCCTCGGCCTCCCAAAGTGCTGGGATTACAGGCGTGAGCCACTGCGCCCTGCCCTTTTTCTTTCTTTCTCTTTTTTGAGAGGGAGTCTCGCTCTTGTTGCCCAGGCTGGAGTGCAGTGGTGCGATCTTGGCTCATTGTAACCTCCGCCTCCTGGGTTCAAGCAATTCCCCTGCCTCAGCCTGTCGAGTAGCTGGAACTACAGGCATACGCCACCACGCCCAGCTAATTTTTGTATTTTTTAGTAGAGACAGAGTTTTTCCATGTTGGCCAGGCTGGTCTTGAACTCCTGACCTCAGGTGATCCACCCGCCTTGGCCTCCCAAAGTGCTGGGATTACAGGCATGAACCACTGCTCCCGGCCTGCTGCTTCTTTTCAATTGAAGCCTTTACCTCCCTTTATTCTTCTCTTATAGATAAGAATTATTAATGTATCTAATTACCCCTGCTTCCTGACAGCATCCAATCCAGAGCAAAACCATTTCTCCAAACCCTCCCAAAATTACCTAATACAGACCCAAACCCTCTTCCATCTTTCTATCACCCATTTCCTATAGACCCTTCTGTGTATTCTCCCTCACTGTAATGGGTAATAAACCCAACTTATTCAACTATAGGTGCATTGCTGGTGGCCTTTGGCAGGAGAGTATTAACACGTGTAGTTTTGTTTCTTCTTTAGAGACAGGGCCTCACTCTGTCACCCAGGCTGGATGCAATGGGACGATCATAGCTCACTGCAGCATCAAACTCCTGGGCTAAAGCGATCCTCCTGCATCAGCCTTCCGATTAGCTGGGATTACAGGTGCACACCGCCACGTCTGGCTAATTTATTATATTTTTGTAGAGATAGGGTCTTGCCATGTTGCCCAGGCTAGCCTCAACTCCTGGGTGCAAGTGGTCCTCCTACCTTGGCTTCCCAAAGCACTGCAATTACAGGTGTGAGCCACCATGCCCAGCTGCAATAACACACTTAAAGCTACACTATTCTTAGGAAAATGAATGAAATGACCAATTGCAAATGCTTTTTTGTCTCTCACCAAGAAGCTTTCTTGAAGTAGAATGTAGTTACCTGGATACTTGTGCAAATGTAGATCATTTAACTCAGCATCTTAAAGTTTAGAGATTCCCTGTGTATTGTCCAATACACATCATAAAGCCTAACATTTAAAAAAACCTAAATGAGTGATTCTGAATTGTCTGACAAGACCTCCATCAGTCTGGGGATGGGCGTCGGGTTTGAGAGGGCAGCAGTGTGCAGCATACAAGAAAGAGGACTGCACAAGTCTGGAGGCTCCCCTTCCACTGACCACAGTGAGATTAGAAACTCCTGGGTTGGGCGTGGTGGGTCACGCCTGTAATCCCAGCACTTTGGGAGGCCAAGGTGGGCAGATCACTTGAGGCCAGGAGTTCGAGACCAGCCTGGCCAACATGGTGAAACCCCGTCTCTACTAAAAATGCAAAAATTAGCTGGGCATGGTGGCGGGCGCCTGTAGTCCCAGCTACTCGGGAGGCTGAGGCAGGAGAATCACTTGAACCTGGGAAACAGAGGTTGCAATGAGCCGAGATGGTGCCCCTGCACTGCAGCCTAGGCGACAGAGCGAGACTCCATCTCAAAAAAGAAAAGAAAAGAAAAAAAAAAGCGAATAGAAACCTCATATTGTCTCTCCTAAATGAGACAAAAGAATTAGATTATACATGTCTGGTGCTGCATGAGGTGAGGGCTTTCTGGACATTGTGCCCCTTGCATTGTGCAACATGGCTCTCCTGAATGAGACAAATGTTGGGGGGAAAAGTAGCTAGGCAAATTAAAAGAGTTCCGATAGGACACGAATATTAACCACAGGGCATCAAATTGTCGGTCAGTTCAGAATGCTGAACTGCTGAGATGAGGAATGCAGCCACCTTCATGGAGGAAAACAGCCACCAAACCCCTCATGCTGCCATGGCAACGGGAGCTCACAAATGATGCAATTGCAAAGGCAGCTGGACACTTGCACATGTGACTGTTGGAAGCTGGGGCTGGGGGTGGAGGGGAGAGTGAGGGTAAGATCCCACCATGAGGGAAGTGGAAACCAGGCAAGGAAAATGTACGCTAATCCTAGTAATGAAAATAAAATTGGTCACAGCTGTGAGCTGTAGGAGAAGGGAAAAGGGAGTAAGCATAGTTCATTTGTGCATGATGTCTTTCACCAAATATTATTAAAATACACTTCACTATCATTAATTCATTCCCCTAGCACCATGCTGAGGGTGCAGTCACCCCATTTTATAGGCAATATGGTCAGCTCAGTGACTCATAATTAGGAAGAAAAGGAATTGTATGAATAAAACATTCCACAGCAACTGGCCACAGTACTAAATATTGCTAACTCATTTAAACCCCCCAAAGTTTTCTTTACCAAAATTTCTCTAAACTCGTGCATTCAAGTTTAACATTAGAAGGAAAATTTTCTCTCAAAATGGAGCAAAATAAAATTCATTTGTGAATCTTAGGGAAGGGCATGGGGAAGTTCCTTGTACCAACCTTGCAGTTCACCTCTGAGTTGGAAATTCTATCAAAATGCAAAGTAACAACAAAGTAATTAGATTATAAATGCCTGGTGCTTCATGAGGTGAGAGCTTTCTGGCCATTGTGTCCATTGCTATGGCTAGCACTGTTACAGGAAAGGGGTCCTGATCCAGACCCCCAAGTGAGCGTTCTTGGATCTTGTGCAAGAAAGAATTCAGGGTGAGTCCATATAGAAAAGTGAAAGCAAGTTTATTAGGAAAGTAAAGGAATAAGAAAATGGCTACTCCCTAGACAGAGCAGCCCCGAGGGCTGCTGGTTGCCCATTTTTATGGTTATTTCTTAATGATATGCTAAACAAGGGGTGAATTATTCATGCCTCCCCTATTTAGACAATATAGGGCAACTTCCTGACGTTGCCATGGCATTTATGAACTGTCATGGTGCTGGTGGGAGTGTAGCAGTGAGGATGACCAGAGGTCACTTTTGTGGCCATCTTGGTTTTGGTGGGTTTTGGCTGGCTTCTTTACTGCAAACTGTTTTATCAGCAATGTCTTTATGAGCTGTATCTTGTGCTAACCTCCTATCTCATCCTGTGACTTAGAATGCCTTCACTGTCTGGGAATACAGCCCAGTAGGTCTCAGCCTCATTTTACCCAGCCTCATTCAAGTTGGAGTTGCTCTGGTTTACATGCCTCTGACGATGCCAAGCTCAGGGGACTGACCACAGTAGGTGTTTAATCAATGCTTGTTGAGAGATAGCGGGCACAGTGAGTGGTAGGAACTATTAGTAAAGCCAGCTTGCCAATGCCTTCTCAGTAAAGTACCAAGTAAGCAACTTCAACAAGCCTGCAGTATGGGAAATTCTCCAATGACTTCTTTGGTCACTCATATTCTTTCATTCATTCTGCATGTGTTTTCCAAGTGCCTACAGGTGCTACGAGCTGTGCCAGATGCTGGGTGTTCAGGATTGCTGAATATTCAGCACACACACTTGTTTATCTGGTAGAAGAAACAAAGGTCAAACAAACAGCTCACAAATTAAAATTGACCTACAGTGGTGATAAGGAGTACAAGAAAGCCTGGGGCTGGGAAAAAGAAGAGAAGAGGAAGAACAAGCCACAGATACTGATCAAAGGAGACAGTGGTGTAAGGTGATGCTAGAGGAGTGAATGGAATAGGCCATGCCAGGCCTTGTGGCTGGAATCATGGATTTGAGCTATATTGTACGTATTTAAGGTACACAATATGATGCCTGTCTATGCATATGCATACTTTAAATGATTACTACAGTAATTTACTCTCTTAGCAAATTTCCAGTATATAATGCAATATTAACAATAGTCCTTATGCTGTGTACTAGATTCCTAGACATCCATCCAACATAACTGCAACTTTGTACCCCTTGATCTACAGCTCCCCATTCTTCCCCCAAATCCCAACCCTGCCATTATACTGGTAACCACCATTCATTCTATTCTTTTTCTATGTATTAAACTTCTTTCACATGCCACGTATAAAAGAAATCGTGCAGTATTTAATTTAATTAATTTATTTATTTATTGAGACGGAGTCTCGCTCTATCGCCAGGCTGGAGTGGTGTGATCTTGGCTCACTGCAACCTCTGACTCCCTGATTCAAGTGATTCTCCTGCCTCAGCCTCCCGAGTAGCTGGGATTACAGACACGTGCCACCACACCTTGCTAATTTTTGTATTTTTAGCAGAGACAGGGTTTCACCATGTTGGCCAGGATGGTCTCGATCTCCTGACCTCATGATCCACCCCCCTCAGCCTCCCAAAGTGCTGGGGTTAAAGGCGTGAGCCGCCACGCCTGGCCAAATCATGCCGTATTTTTATTTCTGTGTCTGGCTTATTTAACTTAGCATAATGTCTTCTATCTAGGTTCATTCATGTTACGCATGGCAGGATCTCCTTCTTTTTAAGGCTAATATTCCACTGTGTACATATAAAGAAAAAGTCTATACACGTATACATATACACCCCACATTTTTAAAACTAATCTGTCAATGGACACAAGTTTCCATATTTCGGCTATGTAAATAATGCTGCCATGAACGTGGGAGTGCAGATATCTCTTTGAGATGCTGATTTCATTCCCTTTGAGTATATGATTTTTTTATTTATTTTTCTTTTTGATACAGAGTTTCACTCTTGTTGCTCAGGCTGGAGTACAATGGCACGACCTTGGCTCACTGCAACCTCTGCCTCCCAGGTTCAAGGGATTCTCCTGCCTCAGCCTCCCGAGTAGCTGGGACTACAGGGGCCCGCCACCAAGCCCTGTTAATTTTTGTATTTTTACTAGAGACAGGGTTTCACTATGTTAGTCAGGCTGGTCTTGAACTCCTGACCTCAGGTGATCCACCCATCTCAATCTCCCAAAGTGCTGGGATTACAGGCATGAGCCACCACACTGGCTGAGTATATAATTTTTTTTTTTTTTGAGACAGAGTTTCACTCTGTTTCCCAGGCTGGAGTGCGATGGTGCGGTCTTGGCTCACTGCAACCTCCACATCCCGGGTTCAAGCAATTCTCCTGCCTCAGCCTCCTGAGTAGCTGGGACTATGAGCACGCACCACCATACCTGGCTAATTTTTGTATTTTTAGTAGAGACGGGGTTTCAGCATGTTGGCCAGGCTGGTATCCAATTCCTGACCTTGTCGTCCACCCGCCTTGGTTTCCCAAAGTGTTGGGATTACAGACGTGAGCCAACGTGCCCGGCCGATAGGTGCTATTTTTACCTCTGTTTTTGCAAACGGGGGTTCTGAGGCATACGAGATGTTAAGTAACTTTACCAAAGTCACAGAGGGAGTGGGGAAAATAGTATTCATGTCCCAGCAGGCCAATTCTCAAACAAGTGATGATGGGAATAAAGGGGCTTAAGATACGTCACCCCCAAATATACTGCCTCGGCATAAGGATTATTCTGAGTTGAAGGCACTTGAGAATCAACAGATGGAGGAAGAGTTCTCCGCCCTTCCCTTATCTGCCTAAAAGCAGGGCATAAATTTCTCTGTGTGATGGTGCTTTCCCCGCCCCTCCCCAAAGAGCTACTCTCTCCACTGGAGAAGAAGAGTCAACACTGAGGTAAATTTGCATAAAGAGAAATACCTTACTAGAATGGCCGTTATCTTTCACTGGCCTCCCCTTTATTTCCTAGTCACTTCCCCGTAATTTATTTTCTGTCAAATCCCAAACCCCTTTCTCTTTTTCTTGTTTTTCCAGAGAGGGACTTGCTCTGTCATCTAGGCTGGATTGCAGTGGTGTGATTATAGCTCACTGCAACCTCGAACTCCTGGGCTCAAGGGATCCTCCCACCTCAGCCTCCTGAGTAGCTGGGACTACAGGCACACTGACTGTGAGCTTGGTTAATTTCTTTTTCTTGTTTTTGGCAGAGGTAAAATCTTGCTGTGCTGGCCGGGCACAGTGGCTCACGCTTGTAATCCCAGCACATTGGGAGGCCAAAAGGCGGGTGGATCATGAGGTCAGGAGTTCGAGACCAGCCTGGCCAAAATGGTGAAACCCTGTCTCTACAAAAAATACAAAAATTAGCCAGGTGTGCTGGCTTGTGCCTGTAGTCCCAGCTGCTTGGGAGGCTGAGGCACAAGAATTGAACCCAGGAAGCGGAGGTTGCAGTGAGCCGAGATCACACCACTGCACTCCAGCCTAGACAACAGAGCGAGACTCTGTCTCAAAAAAAAGAGAGATCTTGCTGTGTTGTCCAGGCTGATCTCAACCTCCTGGGCTCAAGCAGTTCTCTCACCTCAGCCTCCCAAAGTGCTGGCATTACAGGCATGAGCCACTGCACCCAGATCTCCTTTATTTTGATAAAATGGCATGTAAATTCCCAGAGCCTAACTGCTTTTTCAAGTTTCATTTCTTTTTGGTGAACTTTCATGCAGTACTTATAAACATTAATAAAAATGATGTGATTTTTCTCCTGTTGAGCTGTTTTTTTTGTTAATTTTATTTGTAGGCCCCCAGACACCGGACCTAAGAAAGCAGAGGAAAAGTTTCCCTCCCTAATAATAGTAATGGGAGCCTAGATCACAGAGGGATTGGTGAGGTCACACCGGCACATGGCTGCCCTGAGAATCAGATACACAGAGTCCTGCCTCCCATACCACTGTGAAAGCGCTTTTGCAACACAAAATGATCGTGAAGTAAAGCACACATCAAACACAATTTACCTTTTATTTTTGTTTTTTGACTCAGAGTCTCGCTGTGACACGCAGGCTGGAGTGCAATGGCAGGTTTTCGGCTCACTGCAACCTCTGCTTCCCAGGTTCAAGCGATTCTCCTGCCTCAGCTTCTCAAGTAGCTGGGATTATAGGCGCCCACCACCATGCCCAGCTAACTTTTTTTTTTTTTTTTAACAACAAACACAATTTAAAAACAATCTCGGCCAGGCGTGGTGGCTCACGCCTGTAATCCCAGCACTTTGGGAGGCCGAGGCGGGTGGATCACCTGAGATCAGGAGGTGGAGACCAGCCTGACCAACATGGAGAAACCCCATCTCTACTACAAATACAAAATTAGCTGGGTGTGGTGGCACATGCCTGTAATCCCAGCTACTCGGAAAACGGAGGCAGGAGAATCGCTTGAACCTAGGAGGCGGAGGTTGCAGTGAGCCGAGATCTCACCATTGCACTCCAGCCTGGGCAACAATAGCGAAACTCCACTTAGATTCTGTTTTCACAATCTTGGTTTTCCTTGTCTCTGGTGAAGAAAGTTTTTGCAAAGATCATGGAGAGATTGTTCCTGGCCCCACACATATCCCAGGCCCCACCCTTACAGAGCCTGCTCCCAACCCTCCAGTGCCTTGAGCTGAGGCTGCCTTGAACCCAGAGCCAGGACCGAATCCCAGGCCAGGGTTAGGTGGTTGATTCACTGGCATTCCTAGAAGACTCAAGCTGCTCCAGCATCAACTTCTTATTCACCTTCTGGACCTGCTGCTTGCCTGGATGGGAATACTTCTTTTTGTCTTGCTTCCCTTTTGCCCCAAGGCCCCTCTGGTGGAGGCCCAGCCCTGACTTTCTGTACCACAGCCACAGCTGATGAAAGATCAGTCCTTATACAATGTGACTGTCATTGGGGCTGGAACCTCAAGCTGTTGAATGAAACAAGACAGCAGGCTTTGTAGAGGTCTAGGCCAGGCTGTGCACGGCGGCTCATTCCTATAATCCTAGCACTTTGGGAGGCCAAGCCAGGTGGATTGTCTGAGCTCAGGAGTTTGAGACCATCCTGGGCAACAAGGTGAAACCTCATCTCTACTAAAATACAAAAAATAAGCCGGGCGTGGTGGCAACTGCCTGTAGTTCCCCCTACCTGGGAGGCTGAGGCATGAGAATTGCTTGAACCTGGGAGGCAGAGGTTGCAGTGAGCCGAGATCCCACCACTGTATTCCAGCCTGGGCGACAGAGTGAGACTCTGTCTCAAAAAAAAAAAAAAAAAAAAAAAGAATTCTAGGCCAGACCTGTAGCAACGGGTCACCTGGAAATGTGTTAAAAATGTTCAGACTCTTGATGCTGTGAATGAAATGGTTATGCGGGGGTGGCGGGAATGTTGTTCCAGCTCCACCCTACACCCTAAATCAGTGATCCCCACCCAACCTTTTTGACACCAGGGACCAGTTTTGTGGAAGACAAAATCCGGTCCGAGGGCAGAGGTGGTGGGATGGGGGATGGTTTGGGGATGAAATTGCTCCCCCTGAGATCATCAGGCATCAGAGTCTCACGAGGAGCGCGTAACCCGGAGCCCTCACACGCGCAGTTCACGACAGGACTCACACTCCCGTGAGAATGTAACGCCGCCCCTGGTCTGACCGGAGCTCTGGCCATAACGCTCACTCGCCTGCCACTCACCTCCTGCGGTCCGGCCTGGTTCCTAACAGGCCACTCACGGTTACAGGTCTGTGGCCTGGGGGTTGGGGACTTGTGTCTTAGACATTCTGACTCAGAAAGTCACCCTTAGGGTGAGGCCTGGAAATCTTGCTTAAAATAAGTCCTCCAATTCTATGAGTTGTAGGCTTCAAATAAATAAATGAAATAAGCCCTCCACGTGGATGCTGATGAGTGCTGATGTCTCAGAGCCATTGATCCAGCCGAGGTCAGCAAACTGTGGCCCAGGGGCCAAATCCACCCTATTATATATTTCTGTACAGCTCTTTAAGAATGCTTTTTGCATTTTCAAATGATTGGGAAAAAACAAAAGAAAAATTACATTTCAGGACATGTGAAAAAGTTTAAATCCAAATTTCGGTATCCATAAAGATAATTTTATCCTACAGCCATTTATTTACTTATTGTCTCTGGCTGCTTTTGAACTACAATGGCAGAGTCGGTGAGTGGTGGCAGACAACTTTGAGTCTAAAATATTTATGATTTTGCCCTTTCCAGAAAAAGTTTGTGGACCTCTGCTCTGGGCAAAGCTGGTTTGAATTCTCAGTGCTTGCTGAGGTGCGGCAGCTGTCAGCTGCACCCCAAATACAGGCCAGTTCCACAGAGGGAAATCAGTCATCCCAGGCTCTGCCACGTAGAATCCATTTCTGTGCCACCAAGTTAAATTATTTTGCATCTCTAAAAGATGCTAAAAATGGCACTGAGGTTTAGAAAAATTTCCAAAGGCCCATCCTGTCCCATATCCAAATAAATAAATCTGGTTTTCACAACCCAAAGTTGATTTTATTGCTGAAAGTGTTGCCAGATATGCCCAGCTGGTGTTTACCTATTTCTCTACAGAGCAAATATGGGGCAGGGAGTTGATTTTCTTAGGCTCATTGGGAATGTCCTTGGAAGAGGGCTAGTTAGAACAGGAATTCTCAGGGTTTCATCTGAGGAATTTTTTTTTAAATTGAGACAAGGTCTCCATATGTTGTCCAGGCTGGTCTCCAGCTCCTGAACTCAAGCAATCCTTCCACCTCAGCCTCCCAAAGTGCTGAGATTACAGACGTGCGCCACCATGGCCAGCCTCTGAAGAATGTTAAGTACAAAAAAAGAAAAGCAAAGCCACATGAAGAAGCAGCAGTCACTAAAACATGCTACAGACACAAGGTGCCAGATGAACTTGAGGATAGTCCTTAAACACAAATAAAATCTGTCTGTAGCTTTGGCATTAGAAGTAGAGTCCCAAGAAATGAGGCCAGACAGGTAGTTCATTGAGGACCTCACATAACGTACCATGGATGCTAGTAATTATCCAGCACACAACTGGGAATCATAAAAGAGTTTTGGCCGAGCATGGTAGCTCACACCTGGAATCCTGGCACTTTGGGAAGCTGAGGTGAGAGGATCGCTTGAGCCCAAGAGTTCAAGACCCGACTGGGCAACAGCACAAAACCCCATCTCTTAAAAGACAAAAGAAAAAGTGTTTCAAGAACAGGAGAGTAGTGTTTACTTACTTTTATTTTTTATTTATATTTTGAGACGGAGTCTCGCTCTGTCGCCCAAGCTGGAGTGCAGTGGTGTAATCTCGTCTCACCGCAACCTCCGCCTCCCATGTTCAAGCGATTCTTGTGCCTCAGCCTCCAGAGTAGCTGAGATTACAGGCATGCGCCAGGACAACTGGCTAATTTTTATATTTTTAGTACAGACGGAGTTTCACCATGTTGGCCAGGTTGGCCTTGAACTCCTTACCTCAGGTGATCCACCTGCCTCGGCCTCCCAAAGTGCTAGGATTACAGGCGCAAGCCACCATGCCAGGCCAAAGAGACATGCTTCTGATTTCCACTTAAACTCAACCTGCTTTGTTATCCATGTTGGGGATCACACAGTAAGGGGTAAAATTGTGTATTCTTCCATCCTTTGCCCTTAAGGACTAAAAACTTTATGTTAAAAGTAAACCAGAGGTCGGGTGCAGTGGCTCACGCCTGTAATCCCTGCACTTTGGGGGGCCGAGGTGGGTGGATCACCTTAAGTCAGGAGTTTGAGTCCAGCCTGGCCAACATGATGAAACCCCATTTCTACTAAAAACAAAAAAAATTAGCTGGGTGTGGTGACGGGTGCCTGTAATCCCAGTTACTCAGGAGGCTGAGACAAGAGAATCGCTTGAACCCGGGAGGCGGAGGTTGCAGTGAGCCAAGATCATGCCACTGCACTCCAACCTGGGCAACAAGAGCAAAACTCCACCTCAAAAAATAAAAATATAAAAAAAAAATTGGAAAGGTAAACCAGATAGAGGGCCAGGAATGGTGGCTCATGCCTGTAATCCCAGTACTTTGGGCAGCCGAGGCAGGCGGATCACATGAGTCCAGGAGTTCAAAACTAGCCTGGCCAACATGGCGAAACCCCATCTCAACTATAATAAAAATACAAAAATCAGCCAGGTGTGATGGTGCACTTCTGTAATTCCAGCTACTTGGGAGGCTGAGACAGGAGAACCACTTGAATCCGGGAGGTGGAGGTTGCAGTGAGCTGAGATCGTACGACTGCACTCCAGCCTGGGCAACAGAGCAAGACCCTGTCTCAAAAGAAAAAAATTCAAAAAAAAGAAAATCTCTTTACATTTGTGCAAAAGCTTTATGCTCTGAGATTTGACTTCTCTTAAAGAAGGGCTTTGGAGTTTACCAAATACCCAATTATAACGTAATTAGTCCTGAAAAAAAAAAAGCGGGTGGGGGGCGGGGCGGCGGGTCAGGCCGGTGGCTCACGCCTGTAATCCCAGCACTTTGGGAAGCCAAGGCGGGTGGATCACGAGGTCAAGAGTTCAAGACCAGCCTGGCCAAGATGGTGAAACCCCGTCTCTACTAAAAATACAAAAAATTAGCCTGGCATTGTGGCAGGTGCCTGTAATCCCAGCTGCTCAGAAGGCTGAGGCAGATAATTGCTTGAACCCAGGAGGCAGAGGTTGCAGTGAGCAGAGATCATGCCACTGCAGTCCAGCCTGGGTGACAGAGTGAGCGGAGTGAGACTCAGTCTCAAAAAAAAAGGAAGGGCGGAAGGGCATCTCTGTCCTCTTCTACTTCACTACACCCACACCCCTCCAGTCTCGGAGCCACACGCTTGCCCCACCCCACACTTGCATGGGTAATTTATTCAGGTTCCAACCTGAAAGCCACTTTTTCTGAAAGATCTTCAGAACTGGCTCAGAAAATCTGAGCATGTTATCACCAAAAACATAGTTCTTCATCATTACTTTGCTCCTTTAATTGTTCTAATTTCATGCTCTAAATATCTGTTTTGCGTTTGTTGTCTGAAGGAGCTTTGATCCCAAGTCTTGGTCTATGAGTTATGACATCTGCATTGTTTTTTGATTTCTTCACCTGTGTTTTTCTATTTTAGCAAGCTCCTTGTTATCTGCATATAAACAAGAATCTGTTTGGAAAAGTAGACATGAAGAAGTCAAGAAAAATATGTTTACTATCTTTTGTTTTTGTTTTTGTTTTTGTTTTGAGACAGAGTCTCTCTCTGTCACCCAGGCTACAGTGCAGTGGTGTGATCCCAGCTCACTGCATCCTCCGTCTCTCAGGTTCAAGCAATTATCCTGCCTCAGTCTCCCAAGTAGCTGGGATTACAGGCACGAGCCACCGTGCCTGACTAATTTTTGTATTTTTAGTAGAGATGGGGTTTCATCATGTTGGCCAGGCTGGTCTTGAACTCCAGGCCTCAAGTGATCTGCCCACCTCAGCCTCCCTAAGTGCTGAGATTACAGGCGTGAGCCACCACGCCCAGCCTGTTTACTGTGTTATAATGATTATTTGCTGTTTATCTGAAATTTAAATAAGGACCCAAAAGTTAGGTGTATATTTTCATTTTTTGTTTGTTTGTTTGTTTTGTTTTGTTTGGTTTGGTTTTTTGAGACAGAGTCTCACTCTGTTGCCCAGGCTAGAGGGCAATGGTGCAATCTCCGCTCACTGCAACCTCTGCCTCCCAGGTTCAAGTGATTCTTGTGCCTCAGCCTCCCGAGCAGCTGGGATTACAGGTGTCTGCCACCAGCCCAGCTAATTTTTGTATTTTTAGTAGAGGTGGGCTTTCGCCATGTTGGCCAGGCTGGTCTTGAACTCCTGACCTCAAGTGATCCATCCGCTTTAGCCTCCCAAAATGCTGGGACGACAGGTGCAAGCCACCTCGCCCAGCAATTTCATTTGTTTAAAAATTTGTGTAATGAAGAGTTAGACTCCTAAGGGACGGGGCCATCCACAGCCCATGCTTGGGCACGCGCAGAGTTGCCAGATTTAAAAAGTAAAAATACAGGACACCCTAGTTCAATTTAAATTTCAGACAAACAACAAATAATCTTTTTTGGTGTCTGGCCCACATGGTATTTGGCACAAAGATGATACAAGTCTGAATCTGATCGGCAGGATTACTGATTTTGTGCCTCTAGGAAAATTACTTGATTTTTTTAAATGTCAGGTTTTTTGTCTTTAAAATTGAGAATAATAGTATTAATAAATATTTGCGAGGCCAGGAATGGAGGCTCATGCCTATAATCTCAGTACTTTGGGAGGCTGAGGCAGAAGGATCTCTTGAGCCCAGGAGTTCAAGACCAGCCTGGGCAACAAAGTGAGGCCCCCATCTCTGTCTTTTTGTTTTTTGAGACTGAGTCTCGCTCTGTCACCCAGGCTGGAGTGCAATGGCACAATATCGGCTCGCTGCAACCTCTGCCTCCCGGGTTCAAGCAATTCTCCTGCCTCAGCCTCCTATATAGCTGGGACTACAGGCATGTGCCACCACACCTGGCTAATTTTCGTATTTTTAGTAGAGGCAGGGTTTCACCATGTTGGCCAGGCTGGTCCCAAACCCATGACCTCAAGTGATCCACCTGCTTCGGCCTCCCAAAGTGCTGGGATTACAGGCTTGGGCCACCACGCCCAGCCCCCATCTCTAAAAATACATACATGTAAACATACATGCATAAACTCTTTCAAGGACTTAGTGAATATTGACTAAGAGTTCTAGGGCCATTGTAGATCCTAAATAAATACTGAGTCAAATGGAAGGAGCACATAACCAAGCCAAGATATTGCCTTGAACCTTGAAAAATGAGTGGAAGGAGCTCATCCCTAGAGGGAGCACACTCTAGGCAAAAGAGGAAGCACTGTGAGCAGTGACGTCAAAACGCTGGAGAAGCAGGCTGTGGGCCAGACTGAATGAGCCACTGAGTAGGGCCAGCTCGTGAAATGTTAGGATGTGGCATGCAAAGCCATTGCAACATCTTTGAGGGCCAAAGCAAGGGGCTGTTCCCAGAAAATATGGCACTTAGAAGACCGTGTCATTTAAATCCACAAGACACTGTCCATTTTGTTTTACAATTGGGGCTGGTCGTTTTCAGTAATTGAAAACCTTCTGTCTCCTATTGAGAGCATCCCTCTCCTTTAAAAAATTTTTTTAAATAATTTTTTTTTCTTTAGAGATGGGGTCTCACTATGTTGCCCAGGCTGGCCTCAAACTCCTAGCCTCAAGCAATCCTCCTGCCTCTGCCTCCCAAAGTGCTGTGATTACAGGCATGAGTCACCATGCCCAGCCTGTATCCTTCTCTAAATACCAAGTTACTTTTCCTTTGAGACGGAGTTTCGCTCTTGTCGCCCAGGCTGGAGTGCAGTGGCGTGATCTCGGCTCACTGCAACCTCTGCCTCCTGGGTTCAAGTGATTCTCCTGCCTCAGCCTCCTGAGTAGCTGGGATTACAGGCATGTGCCACCACGCCCAGCTAATTTTGTATTTTTAGTAGAGACAGGGTTTCTCCATGTTGGTCAGGCCAGTCTCGAACTTCCAACCTCAGGTGATCTGCCCGCCTCGGCCTCCCAAAGTGCAAGGATTATAGGCGTGAGCCACTGCATCCAGCCCCAGCTACTTTTTTATTTTGTAGTTTTAGTAGAAACAGGGTTTCACCATGTTGGCCAGACTGGTCTTGAACTCCTGACATCCAGTGATCCATCTGCCTCAGCCTCCCAAAGTGCTGGGATTACACGCATGAGCCACCGTGCCCGGACTTAAGTTACTCTGGAACCAAGATCAATTGAAGGAAGAACCTGGACCACCCCCACCACCCACCCCGCCCACTTTTAGATTCTTATTTCCCGTTGATTCAGGAGTCTACACTGATGAGTTGAGGTGTTAATCTGATTCTGGAACTGACAAGGCATTCTAATACCATAGCTTGGTGTATCAGTGGCATGGTGGTGGCTATGTTTTCTAGATTTTCAGGCAGTGTTTATCTTTTGGTAAAAGTGGCATATAAAAATAAAATGAGGCCTGGCGCAGTGGCTCACGCCTGTAATCTCAGCACTTTGGGATGCCAAGGCGGGTGGATCATTTGAGGTCAGGAGTTGGAAACCAGCCTGGCCAACATGATGAAACCTGTCTCTACTAAAAATGCAAAAATTAGCTAGGCGTAGTGGTGCATGCCTGTAATTCCTGCTACTTGGGAGGCTGAGGCAGGAGAATCACTTGAACCCAGGAGGCAGAGGTTGCCGTGAGCCGAGATGGCGCCACTGCACTCCAGCCTGGTCAACACAGCGAGACTCCGTCTAAAAAAAATTAATTAATTGGGGAGAATTAATTAATTAGTTGGGGAGAATTTATTTTTATTGACCACAAACTGCTTGGCCATTTCCAAACTCAAAGAAGCCAAGCTGTTGCCACCTGCTGGTTTTTGTCGGCATTGACTTAAAGGTCGAAGGAGACACTTCTGAACTAGCTGGAGCTTTCCTGACAGAGGAAGCTATTCCAGGTAGTACAGTCCTGTTGGTTGGAAACTTGGTGCGGTTGAGATCTCATCGCTTGTGAGGAACATATAAATGATACGAAAACTTTGAAGCTAAAAGTGTACCAATCTCTTCATGATGGGCTGTTCTGAAGGACTTTCTATTCTGAAGCCTCGACTAGGGGTTTTCAGATGAAGAACCTGGAGCAGGGATTAAATGATCCCCCAGGACAGGGCAAGGCAGGGCAGACCCTCCTTTTGAACCCAGGTCTGTCTGATGACAAAGCTCCAGCACTTCCCAGGACACTATGCTGTCTCTAAATGCAGTATTGGGCCAAGGAATGTGCTCAATATGTTGTCTTGTGTTTGAACCGGAATCAGGATGAATATAGATGCAGCATAATGATGGCCTTTTTCCAGCGGGCAGGAGGAGAAAGCAGCCACAGTGTTACCACCCAACACTGTTCGGCCCTGCGCTTTTCGAACACAAAATCTGCAATTGATCAAGCTCCCCAGGTGATCCCTAATGTGCACAGGAATCATATTCTTCAGATTCAGAATTCCTATGCACATTAGCAATCGCCTGGGCAGCTTGATAAGTTGCAGATTTTGATTCAGTAGTTTGGAAGAACCTGAGATTCTGCATTTTTAACTTCATATCAGGTGATGTTGATGCTGCTAGTCTATAGACCACCCTCAGGGTCTAGAGTGAAGTCTAGACCAGTGGTTCTCAGCCGGGGGCAATTTGCCCTCCTCCAACATCTGGCAACATCTAGGAACATTTTTGGTATCCTATGGGGGGAGCAGTGCTATTGGCATCTAGTAAATAGAGGCCAGGGAGGGATGCTGCTGAACATCTTACAATGCACACGGCAGCCTCCCATAACAAAGAATTATTTTCCCAAATGTCAATTGCACAGAAGTTGGGAGACTCTGTCCTAGATGATAACTTGGGTTCACCTTCTGCGAGAAGCTCAGGTCTTCTAACCTGGAGTTTGCCGAAAAATAAGTGTGAACTAGTTTTTTTTTTTTTTTGGTGGCCAGGTCTCACTCTGTTGCCCAGGCTGGAGTGCAGTGGCACGATCTCGGCTCACTGCAACCTCCACCCTCCAGGGTTCAAGCGATTCTCCTGCCTCAGGCTCCCAAGTAGCTGGGATTACAGGTATGCATCACCATGCCTGGCTAATTTTTGTATTTTTGGTAGAGACAGGTTTCACCATGTTGGCTAGGCTGGTCTCGAACTCCTGACCTCAAGTAATCGGCCATCGTTGGCCTCCCAAAGTGCTGCGATTACAGGTGTGAGCCACTGGGCCCGGCCTGAACTAGCTTCTTTTGTTTGTGGAAGAAAACAATACACACTTAGAAATCTCCCATACAGGCAAGGTGTGGTGGCTGATGCCTGTAATCCTAGCACTTCGGGAGCCCGAGGTGGGCGGATTGCCTGAGCTCAGGAGTTTGAGACTAGCCTGACCAGCATGGTGAAACCCTGTCTCTACTAAAAATACAAAAAATTAGCTGGGTGTGGTGGTGCGTGCCTGTAATCCAAGCTACTCAGGAGGCTGAGGCATGAGAATCACTTGAACCCAGGAAGCAGAGGTTGCAGTGAGCCGAGATTGTGCCACTGCATTCCAACCTGGGCGACAGAGACTCTGGCTCTAAAAGAATTTTTTTTACATAAAAATATAAAAAATAAAAAACCTCCCGCCAGGTGCAGTGGCTCATGCCTGTAATCCTGGCACTTTGGGAGGCCCAGCAGGGAGCTTTGATCCCACCACTGCACTGCAGCCTGGGCGACAGTGTGACTGAGACCCTGTCTCAAAAAAGAAAAAAAAAAAGATTAAATACAACACAGCCAACATAACTGACACATCAACTTATAAAAAACCACCTACAGCCGGGCATGGTGGCTCACGCCTGTAATCCTAGCACTTTAGGAGGCCGAGGCAGGTGGATCACGAGGTCAGGAGATCGAGACCATCCTGGCTAACACAGTGAAACCCCGCCTCTACTAAAAAATACAAAAAATTAGCTAGGCTTGGTGGTGGGCACCTGTAGTCCCAGCTACTCGGGAGGCTGAGGCAGGAGAATGGCGTGAACCCGGGAGGCGGAGCTTGCAGTGAGCTGAGATCGCGCCACTACACTCCAGCCTGGGCGACAGAGCGAGACTCCGTGTCCGTGTCAAAACAAACAAACAAACAAACAAAAACCACACAAAAAAACCCCAAAAATAACACCTACATAAAAGACCCTCCTGTATGTAGTTTAGCAGCAAAGGAAAGGTGAGGGGATATTGAAGAGACTTGTGAGACTAAGAAGGCCTTTTGAGTTGTGAAGAACTCTGCCTGCATTAACTCTTCCAGGCAAGGGCTTGGCAGGACAGAAATCAGCCAGCCAAGTAGACTTGGCAATGCTTTTCTTCTTATCTCATGCGAGACCAAAACAACAACAAAAAGACCCTTTCTTTCTTTCTTTCCTTCCTCCCTCCCTCCCTCCTTTCTCTCTCTCTCTCTTTCTTTCTTTCGAGACAGAATCTCGCTCTGTCACCCAGGCTGGAGTGCAGTGGCACGATCTCAGCTCACTGCAACCTCCACCTCCCAGGTTCAAGTGATTGTTCCTGCCTCAGCTTCCAAGTAGCTGAGATTACAGGCACGCGTCACCATGCCCGGTTAATTTTTGTATTTTTAGTAGAGACAGAGTTTTGCCATGTTGGCCAGGCTCATCTCGAACTCCTGACCTCAGGTGATCCACCGGCCTCAGCCTCCCAAAGTGCTGGGATTACAGGCATGAATCACTGCGCCCAGCCCTAAAAGACCCTTTCTATTGTGATTTATTCCCCAGGATATCTTGATAGAACTATTACTGTAAACCTAGAACAGAGGTCAGCAAACTTTTTCTGTAAAAGGTCAGATAGTAAATATCTTAGGCTTTGCAGATTTTATGGTCTCTGTGGCAAGTACTCAACGCTGTCACTGTAGCACAAAAGCAGCCAGAGGCAATAATTACCCAGTGGGTCTGGCTGCATGCCAGTAATACTTTATTTATAAAAATAGACCCAAAAGCAAATGGCCCATGGGCAGTAGTTTGCTGACCTCCAGTCTAGGCACTGAAGTGAATCTGGGGCCAGCTGTAGATCCCATGTTAGCAGTGACATAAGCAGCTGGCCCCCGTTTATTTTAGGGGTTGGGGAGAGAGTGACTAATACATTGCAACAAACCAACTGCCCGCAAAAAATATAATGGTTTCCCAGCTTGACCCAGTGACTAAAAGCAGTCACTCACACCACCGAAATTCAATATAAGTAGTTCTATTTTCTCCCTCTGAAGTTGACACTGCAGGTGCTCTAATTTATCGCAAAGCATTAATTAACTACCTAAGATGTACTTAGCATTTCTGGGAGCACTGAGGAATGAAAAAACATGTTACAGTCCATGTTCTGAAGCAGTTTCCTTGGTGTAACCATGGTGCTAAGACATAGACACACAATCACAGCACTTTCAAACACCCATGGAGAGGTTATTCAGTAAATGTGCATGAAAAATTGGTTAGGCATTTGGAAAAAGATGAAACCTGGTTGGGAGGCCAAGGCGGGTGGATCATGACATCAGGAGTTCAAGATCAGCCTGGCCAACATGGTGAAACCCCGTCTCTACTAAAAATACAAAAATTAGCCGGGCATGGTGGCGCATGCCTGTAATCCCAGCTACTCAGGAGACTGAGGCAGGAGAATTGATTGAACCCGGGAGGCAGAAGGCTGCAGTGAGCCGAGATCACACCACTGCACTCCAGCCTGGGCGACAGAGCGAGACTCCGTCTCAAAAAAAAGTAAAATAAAATAAAAACAACTACATGAGAAAATTTCTATAAACAAGGTCAAAATAAATGGAGCAATTCTTTTTAATATATATGACACATAATTAATCATTCAACTACAACAATCAATAGAAAATGATGAAACGCCTAAAGAAAAGTAATACTTCACAGAATACATCACTGATTAATTTTAAGTACCTGAGTAGATGCTTAAAAAAAAAAAATCCAGACTAAAAACAATTGAAATCCATCCCTTACGCACAGATCAGCATCTGTCCTGGTTTTTGGGTCACGTGCTCTCTGGCCACTCCTCCCGAGCATGCTCCCTCCTGGAACCCAGCCACCTGCTGAGAGGCCACTTGGAGTCACTCCAGTCTTCAATCCCAGCTGGCCCCAACCTTGAGTCATCCCAGCCCAGGGGCTGGACTTGCGAATGAAGAAGCCTTTGGATGATTTCAGCTCCCAGCCATTTTTTTTTTTTTTTTTTTCCTGAGATGTCTCGCTCTGTCGCCCAGGCTGGAGCGCAGTGGTGCGATCTCGGCTTACTGAAAACTCCGCCTCCCGGGTTCAAGCAATCCTCCTGCCTCAGCCTCCCAAGTAGCTGAGAATACAGGCGCCTGCCACTACGCCCAGCTAATTTTTTGTATTTTTAGTAGAGACGGGGTTTCACCGTGTTAGCCAGGATGGTCTCGATCTCCTGACCTCATGATCTGCCCACCTTGGCCTCCCAAAGTGCTGGGATTACAGGCGTGAGCCACTGTGCCCTCAGCTCCCAGCGATTTAAGTCACTCCCAGCCTTCAGGTGTTTCTGGCTGAGTCCCCGGGCACCGTGGAGCATAGACAAGCTGTCACCGTGTACGTTTTCTGAAATCCCCTTACCACAGACTCCATGAGCATAAAAAACAGAACAAGACTCCACCTCAAAAAAAAAAAATCACTCCAGAAAGTAGATTTATTTGGGAAGAATACTCATTGAACCAGGCTAAGCAGTAAGAGTATGTCTGGAGAAGGAACCTAGGAGTCAGGGTTTTTAGTTGGCATATGGCACAGATGACTTGAAGGACATATTAGAGGAACTGACTACAGCAGACAAGCCAGGGAGGGCAAGGACAGCCACAGGCAGGAGAGAGGGTGAGCAGCCACCTGGGAGTGGGGAAAGCAGCCCAGAGGAGGAAACAGCAGGCCCCGGAAGGAGTGAGCCCAGGAGATCTGCCAGGCCCAGCACTTTTGAGGGACTTTAGGGAGCTCACATCTTCTCTGAGTTCCAGCTTCTTGAACAAATGCTCTCTCTCAGCGGGGCACGGTGGCTTATGCCCTATAATCCCAGCACTCTGGGAGGCTGAGACGGGTGAATCCCTTGAAGCCAGGAGTTCAAGACCAGCCTGGACAACATGGTTAAACCCCATCTCTACTAAAAATACAAAAATCAGCCAGGTGTGGTGGTACACATTTGTAATTCCAGCTACTCGGGAGGTTGAGGCATGAGAATAGCTTGAACCTGGGAGGTAGAGGTTGCAGTGAGCCAAGATTATGCCACTGCACTCCAGCCTGGTTGACAGAGCAAGCAAGACTCTGCCTCAATAAAAACAAAACGAAACAAAACAAACTCTCTCTCTCCCATTAGAATGCTTCCTCTTTCCATCATTTGTCTTTTATACAAGTCCAAATACCTTAACAAAATTTACAGGGCCCCGAAGACCTGCCTAGTTCTTTCTCCCTGTCACTGGCTGCAGCCACCCTGGAATCCTGCTTGTAAAACTCTTAGACAGTAGGACCCTTTTCTCAATCATGCCTTCCTCTGCCTGGTGTGTTCCGTCTCCACCACTGGCTCCGTTCCATCATTCTGGCCCAAGTGAAAATTATTCTCCCTCTGATCACCTGGAAAATGCATTCCATCTGCCAATCACTGAGTTTTTTTCTTCTTTTTTATTGTACTTATAAATATCTGAGTGCTATCTTCCTTCCCTTGCTAGCATTAAACTGGGCTCCATGAGGGCCAGGACCTTGTCTACCTTGTTCAATGAGGTATTTTCAGGACCCAAAATAGTGCTAGTAGATAGTCAGTAAATGCTCAATAAATGTTTGCTGAAAATCAATAAAACTCCTTCCTAAATAAACTCTCATCCACACTTCAAAACCCAGTTCACAAACCCAGGAATTTGAGGCTGCAGTATCTCCTGTGACCATACTCTCCAAGCACTTGTTCTTGTTGCACTGTTGATGAATGAAACACCCTATGTTTTGTTTTTGAGACAGGGTCTCATTTTGTCACCCAGGCTGGAGCGCAGTGGCGAGATCTCAGTTTACCACAACCTCTGTCTCTTAGGCTCAAGCGATCCTCCTGCCTCAGCCATGTAGCTGGAACTACAGGTGTGCACACCACCATCCAGCTAATGTTTGTATTTTTTGTAGAAACGGGGTTTTGCCATGTTGCTCAGGCTGGTCTCAAACTCCTGAGCTCAAGCAATCCACCTGCCTTGGCCTCCCAAAATGCTGGGATTACAGGTGTGAGTGACAACGCCCGGCCTTGAAATACCCTATGGTTAATGCATTCATGGAGCTCTACTGTACCTCCTGTCCCCTCTGTAGGTTGTGTTAGTGTCACTCAACACTGTAGCTCAAGTTTCCCGTCCTTGTCAAGTAAAGTCACTTCAACTTAGGTAGGGAGCCCAGCAGAAAGCTAGCAGCATGGCTTGTAAATGTGGCTCCCCAACCTGAAGTCCTGATGAGACTATGTTATGTGAAAATGGAAAATATTCTTGATCTTTCTAGGCCTCAGTTTCCTTATCTGTAAAATGACAGTAATAGAATCCAGGGTCGCTAGTTTGTTGGGCAAGCACTGTGAAAACATATCCACTTGTGACCTGCTGCACCTTAAGTTCTTGTTTCCAAAAGTACCAGGAAGAAGCTCAACCCCAGGAAAACACAAAAACCAGCTGGATCCAGAGATGCCTGAGTTGGAGCTGAACTTTGGAGAACTCTCTTCATTACCACACTAAAAATCCCCTCCCTGGCCTGTGCGGTGACTCATGCCTGTAATCCTAGCACTTTAGGAGGCTAAGATGGGTGGATCACTTGAGCCTAGGAGTTTGAGACCAGCCTGGGTAACATAGTGAGACTCCGTATCAACAAAAAATTTAAAAAATTGACTGGGCATGGTGGTGCACACCTCCATAGTCCCAGCTACTCTGGAGGCTGAGTCAGGAGAATCGCTTGAGCCGGGAGGTGGAGGTTGCAGTGAGCCGAGATTGCACTACTGCACTCCAGCCTGGGAGACAGAGTGAGACCCTATCTCAAAAACAAACAAAAAAAAGGTTCAGTCATCTCTGATGGTGTCATCAAGGTGTTCAACGACATGAAGGTGTGTAAGTCTTTGACGCCAGAGAAGGTGAAGAGGCACAGAAGACGGTGCTCTTCTGCCTGAGTGAGGACAAGAACATCATCCTGGGGGAAGGCAATGAGATCCTGGTGGGTGACGTGGGCCAGACCATCCATGACCCCTACACCGCCTTTGTCAAGATGCTGCCAGATAAGAACTGCCACTGTGCCCTCTACGACACAATCTATGAGACCAAGGAGAGCAAGAAGGAGGACCTGGTGTTTATCTTCTGGGCCACTGAATGGGCACCCCTTACGAGCAAAATGATCTATGCCAGCTCCAAAAATGCCATCAAGAAGAAGCTGACAGGGATCAAGCAAGAATTACAAGCAAACTGCTACGAGGAGGTCAAGGACCGCTGCACCCTGGCAGAGAAGGTGGGGGGCAGTGCCTTCATCCCCCTGGAGGGCAAGCCTTTGTGAGCCCTTTCTGGCTCCCTGCCTGGAGCATCTGGCAGCCCCACCTCTGCCCTCAGGGGTTGCAGGCTGCCCCCTTCCTACCAGACCGGAGGGGCTGGAGGGACCCCAGTAGGGGGAGGGCAATCCCTTCAGCCCAGTTGCCAAACAGACCTCCCACCGTGGATTTTCCTTCTCCCTCCATCCCTGACGGTTCTGGCCTTCCCAGACTGCTTTGGATCTTCTGATTCCTCTCGGGTTGAAGCAGATCAAGTTCCCCCCAGGCACCCGAGTTGTGAGGGAGACTGTATTTTTTTTAACAACACCCGCACTCCCCACCTGTTCCTTCCCCTTCCCATGCTGCCAACTATTTTTTTTTTTTTTTTTTTTTTTTGAGACAGAGTCTCACTCTGTTGCCCAGGCTGGAGTGCAGTGACGTGATCACAGCTCACTGCAACCTCCACCTCCTGGGTTCAAGCAATTTTCCTGCTTCAGCCTCCCCAGTAGCTGGGACTACAGGTGTGCACTGTCATGCCCGGCTAATTTTTTGTATTTAAGTAGAGATGGGGTTTCACCGTGTTGCCCAGGCTGGTCTTGAACTCCTGAGTTCAGGCAATCTGCCCACCTCAGCCTCCCAAAGCGCTAGGATTACAGGGATGAGCCACTGCGCCCGGCCCCATGCTGCCAACTTCTAACCACAATAGTGACTCTGTGCTTGTCTAGTTCTGTGTTTAAATGGAATGTTGTGAAGATGACCCCTCCCTGTGCCGACAGGTTCCTCTTCCTTTTCCCCTGGTCACAGCCACTCATGGAAGCAGGACCAGTAAGAAACCTACGATTAAAAAAAAAAAAAAAAAACCCGGGTGCAGTGGCTCATGCCTGTAATCCTAGCACTTTGGGAGGCCGAGGTGGGCAGATCACCCGAGGTCAGGAGTTCGAGACCAGCCTGACCAACATGGAGAAACTCTACTAAAAATACAAAAACTCTACAAAAAATACAAAATTAGCTGGGCGTGGTGGCGCATGCCTGTAATCCCAGCTACTGGGGAAGCTGAGGCAGGAGAATCGCTTGAAGCCAGGAGGCGGAGGTTGCAGTGAGCTGAGATAGCACCACTGCACTGCAGCCTGGGTGACAGAGCGAGACTCTGTCTCAAAAAAAAAAAAAAAAAGATAATAATAGAAAGCTCATTAATGGGGGAAAAAAAATCTCCTCCTAGGGAGAAGCTTATTCACTATTTTATACACAGGCAACATATGTGGAAGCATGGCCGGTGACTGCGCCTGTACTCCTTGACTCCACCTCTGCCCAATAAATGCCCTGCATTCACTTTTGTTCAGGGAGGCACTGCTTTGGGAACTATCCCCAGTGTCCTCCTTACGTGTTAGAATTAATAAAATCCCCTTTTTAAATCCTCCTTGGGAGTAGTCATTGGACCGTCACCCACCAAGCGATCAAACCCACCCATTGTGTGGGTTAACTGTAACAGTAGTTAGCCATAGAGAGTTGTGATAAGAAGCCAAAGAATAAAGCTCCTTTAAAATAAAGAATATTTATTTTAGAATACAGCTTGGCACATAGTAAACATGCACATGGTTTAAATGACTTCATGTTGAGAAGTTACAGCTTTGGCATAAATATGTATGGTATAGAAAGACAAAAAGAGAATGACAGAAAATAACTAAATAGAGTGAATGCTGGGGAAATCGAATAATCTCTCTAATGACACAGATAAGAGCACCTCCAGATGAGCTTACCATTGTTCACGCTGGCTTCACTGGGTTCCACAGAGACAGCCTACAGGCCAGAGATTCTCTAGTACCGAGCCCTAGATGGGACACCTGCCCACATGCAGGGAGTGAAACCCACTCCTTAATGGCCCTCCCACATATACCACAGAAGACACTTAAAATATTATCTCTAGCTCATTACACAAAACCATCACACAAGCCAACCATTTCTTATTTAGAATACGGTTATATGGCTGGATGCAGTGGCTCACGCCTGTAATCCCAGCACTTTGGGAGGCCGAGGTGGGTGGATCACCTGAGGTCAGGAGTTCGAGACCAGCCTGGCCAACATGGTGAAACCCCGTCTCTACTAAAAATACAAAAATTAGCCTGGTGTGGTGGCATGTGCTTGTAATACCAGCCACTCGGGGGGTGGAGGCAGAAGAATCACTTGAACCCAGGAGGCGGAGGTTGCAGTGAGCCAAGATCATGCCACTGTGCTCCAGCCTAGGCAATAGAGCAAGACCCTGTTTCAAAAAAAAAAAAATGATAATTATATAACTTTCAAGAGCAGCCCACATTTTTCTTAGAAGGACACAAGAACACGGAGCACAAAAACTAAACTAGGAAGAGCCACCACTCTGCTGCCACTGGTTGGAGCTGATCACCCCAGGCATCCCTGCTTCTCAGACTCCTCCACTGTATACACAGGAGAAAACCAATCCCTTCTGCCAGCATCTGACACGTCTGTCAGAGCACACATCCTTCCCGACATGGGCTAGAGAGGATTGCAGGGTCTGTCCTCAAGGCTGCTCCCATCCCTGGGGGCTGCTGACTCCAGGCAGCCAAATGTCTCCTGGGAGGCGTAGGTCATGTACACGAAGCCATCCTCATCCTTGTAGTCTCTGTAGATCTCTGCCATGGTTGCGCTCATGCTGACCAGGCTCTTGTTGTTCACCAGCAAGTAAAAGGCTTCCGTGGCTCTCAGGACCATGCGGCTCCTGGGATGGGCAGGAGGGTGGTGAGGGTATGGCCTGCGAGACAGCCCAGGGATCTGCAGCCTCATGACACTCAAGAAGACTGAATTGCTCCCTTCTTCTTCCCTGAGATTTAGGAACTACAAGGCTTCCCATTTGGGTCAAAAGGGTGAGGCCATTCCATGGATGAAATATGACAACACAAACAGGTTGAGGAAACATGACAACACAAAAATGCTAAGCAAATAACTTCCATTTGCTATGAAATTAAAGCTATTGGGCTGGATGCAGTGGCTCACACCTCTAATCCCAGCACTTTGGGAAGCTGAGGCAGGCAGCTCACGAGGTCAAGAAATCGAGGCCATCCTGGCCAACATGGTGAAACCTGGTCTGTACTAAAAATACAAAAATTAGCTGGGTGTGGTGGCGTGAACCTGTAGTCCCAGCTACTCGGGAGGCTGAGGCAGGAGAACCAGGAGGCGGAGGTTGCAGTGAGCCGAAATTGCGCCACTGTACTCCAGCCTGGTGACAGAGCAAGACTGCGTCTCAAAAAAAAAAAAAAAAGAAAAGAAATTAAAGCTATTTCCCTAGAAGTACAAAGGTGATGCACAGTCTCGCTGATATTTCACTTTTTTTTTTTGATTCCCCTGCCTCAACCTCCCAAGTAGCTGGGATGACAGGCACGCAACACCACACCTGGGTAATTTTTGTATTTTTAGTAGAGACGGGGTTTTGCCATGTTGGCCAGGCTGCTCTTGAACTCCTGACCTCAGGTAATCTGCCCTGCCTTGGCTTCCCAAAGTGCTGGGATTACAGTGTGAGCCACTGCGCCTGGCCCTAATCCTAACTTTCATTCTCCCTTGGCCATCTTCCATTCACACTGAACTAACTTTAACATGTAAGTTTGCCTAGAGAGAGGAAATCAGAATGCTCTTAACTCAGTAAAACAAAATAAAAAGAGGCCTGGGCAACATCGTGAGACCCCCATCTCTACAGAACATTTTTAAAATTAGCCGGGCACGGTGGTGCTTTCCTGTAGTCCCAGCTACTCAGGAGGCTGAGATGGGAGGATCGCCTGAGCCCAGAAGGCCAAGGCTGCAGTGAACTAGGTTCACACCACTGCACTCCAGCCTAGGCGACAGAGCTAAATAAAGCAAAATAAAAAGACACTCATTCATCGTGTGTTCTCAAAAAAACAGGCTGCAACAGCGATGCAGCTTCCAAGCACTTTTCAACCCTGTTGAAAACTTACTCATCGGGTATATTTACTTTACTCCCAAATCATTTTTTACTGAATCCATGTGTCAAGTGATGTCCTTTATGCTTTAAGAATAGCTGCCTGTTCTTTGCTGTACCTCTGGCTTAACCAAGGGAGGAGTGTGTTTGGGGGATGCTTTTCTCTCTCAGTGTTCTGAGCAGGGAACGTTTCCTTTGGGGAGAAGTCCCCACCCCTAGGCA
Organism: Homo sapiens; assembly: GCF_000001405.40. Lineage (NCBI taxonomy): Eukaryota > Metazoa > Chordata > Mammalia > Primates > Hominidae > Homo > Homo sapiens. The sequence continues at coordinate 241,997,820 of NC_000001.11, forward strand.
CACATACACTTGGAAAAGGTGCTGGTCTCTGCAACGGACGCGCAGACTCGGTTTCACACAAGATCTGAAAGAAAGGATCTCCCGGCCTAGCTTGAGAGCCAAGACTAACTACTTTAGGAAATTCTTAGAAATGTTGGCAGGTCTTTTTTGTTGTTGTCGTTGTCTGAGGGATTCTCCTTACCTGTTTAAAATAGAGTAATTCTTTTTTTTTTTTTTTTTTTTTTGAGACAGAGTTTCACTCTTGTTGCCCAGGAGTGCAGTGGAACAGTCTCGGCTCACTGTAACCTCCGCCTCCCAGGTTCAAGCGATTCTCCTGCCTCAGCCTCCCAAGTAGCTAGGATTACAGGCACCCGCCACCACGCCTAGCTAATTTTTGTATTTTTAGTAGAGACAGGGTTTCACCACGTTGGCCAGGCTGGTCTCAAACTCCTGACCTCTGCGATCCACCTGCCTCAGCCTCCCAGAGTGCTGGGATTACAGGCATGAGCCACTCCGCCCGGGGTTTAAAATAGAGTAATTCTAAGAGCATCTTTTCAGGGTACTAGTGAATCTAAAAGGTGACTTCAAAAAAATCTCTTTCCTCTCTTCCCCTGACGTGCCCCCATCCCCAAAATAAAACTGCCAAACGAAGAAAGCCCAACAGCCCCGGCGCACCCAGCGCACCTTCCTCCGGGGCACGCTCTGCGCCACCTACCGGATGATGCTGAGGAACTGGGTCATGGTCAGCTCCTGCGGGACCAGGAACTTGGTTTTGTCCAGCGGGGGCAGGAACGTCTCCCTGGGGTAGCGCTCCACTACCACCTGTCAAGAGTGTCAGTCCTTAAGAATGTGACTCAGCGTGAGTGTTAGGAACTTGGAACAGACAGAGGGAAGCTGTTGGCTGCTCTTGGTTTTTCAGAGAACAGGATCGGAACCCCACCCCCACGCCCCCCAGCGGAAGTCCAGTGGTGTCTTACCGGGATTTTGTTGGGGAACTTTGCCCGGATTCCAGCAACTTCCTCTTGTCTGATTGCTGTGAATATTTCAAGCACAAGAGAAGAAGCAAAGATCAAGAAAAGAAGCAAAGATCAAGAGAAGGCCAGATCCGCTCCTCTCTTTAGATAACCCAGAAAGCTACCCCAAGAAATTTACCCAAGCTTTTCCTCTGCTTGAAGGGTCTGACGCTTGGGATTTTCTGTGGAGGCGGCATTGCACTCAGTAGCTGTGTCTGTTTTAAAAAAGAAAAAAAAACTGTCCCGCAACCGGGAACCTAACTCATTCCTCCAGCTGCTTCCAAACTGCCTGCAGGAGCCTGAAGGAGGCCCTTATGTAGGGCTGAGTGACATCAGGCCTCTCCTCTCCCTCCCCTCTCCCCACTCCCCCTCCCTGGGCAGCAGGAGGTCAGTTCTGATGGAAATGGAATCGCCACCTGCTTGCTGGTCAGAGAAAGCCACTTTGTTCATGACCAGTTCAAGATGTTTCTTTGCAAAAGAAATTAGGGTTTGTAATAAAATCATTGGCTGGGCAGCGGACTGTGGAGAGGTAAAACTGCCTTGTGCTGGGATGTTTTTGCCCTTCAGTAGCAAGGGGGGGTCCAAGCTGGATCCACCTCAGCCTGAAGTGTGCTGTGTAGTTCTCACAATGGTCCATGCCCTTTATCACAGAAGGAAACCTATACTAAGAAAGGTGAAGTGATTTGCTCGAGGGCACACAGCAAGTAAGAGAAGCGGTATGGATTAAAACCTAGAGCTGTACACTGGGTGCAGTGGCCCACGCCTGTAATCCCAGCACGTGGGAGGCCGAGGCGGGTGGATCACCTGGCCAACATGCTGAAACCCCATCTCTACTAAAAATACAAAAATTAGCCGGACGTGGTGGCTGGCACCTGTAATCCCACCTACTCAGGAGGCTGAGGCAAGAGAATCGCTTGAACCCAGGATGCGGAGGTTGTAGTGAGCTCAGGTCACACCATTGCACTCCAGCCTCGGCAACAAGAGCGAAACTTCATCTCAAAACAAAACAAAACAAAACAAAAAAAACCCAGAGTTGTTACAAGGAAGTCCAAGTACTACACTCCAGTATATTCTGTCACTTAGTTTTCTCTGGGATAAAAGAAGGAAGGAAGGACAATTGTCCCCAAGATCTTGCTTTTAGAGTTAAGAAACTGGGTCTCTGGTCATACATAGGGGAAACCAAACTCCATTTCTCCTATATTCTCACAACACAGATCACTTTTGACACTAGATGTGTGTGTGTGTGTGTGGGTGGGTGGGGGTTCCCCATACACCGAGCAATCACTTCTACAGTGGACACCAGCTAGGTGTCCTCCAATCCAACTCTGACACTGTCTACCTGGAGACAGCATCAGATCGGGCTGAGGGCTCTGTCCCACAAGACTGTCCCCCACTTTCAATGCCGATTGCAAGCCCCAAGTTGTGTTTGTTGTTTTTTTGCTTGTTTGAAACAGAGTCTTGCTCTGTTGCCCAGGCTGGAATGTAGTGGCACGATCTCAGCTCACTGCAATCTCTGCCTCCTGAGTTCAAGCGATTTCTCCCGAGTAGCTGGGATTACAGGCACATGACACCATGCCTGGCTAATTTGTGTGTTTTTAGTAGAGAGGGGGTTTCGCCATGTTGGCTAGGCTGGTCTGAAACTCCTGACCTTGTGATCCTCCTGCCTTGGCCTCCCAAAGAGCTGGGATCTCATGCGTGAGCCACTGCGCCCAGCCCCTAGCTTGTTTTCCCTGTGCTTCTGATCTATGGGACATAAGTCAGGCTTCCCACAGCCCCCGCCTTGGGTTTCATTAATTGGCTAGAATGACTCACAGAACTCAGGGAAACACTTTTACCGGCTTATTACAGAGGATATCACAAAGGGTACAGATGAAGAGATGCATAGCGAGGTATGGGGGAAGGGCATACCACCCTCCAGGAACCTCCACGTGTTCAGCTAGCAGAACCTAGGCCTTTTGGGTTTTTACGGAGGCTTCATTATGTAAGCAAGATTGATTAAACCATTGGCCACTGGTAATCAATTTAACTTTCAACCCCTCTACCCTCCCCAGAGGCTGGAGGTGGGGCTAAAAATTCCAACCCTCTAATCTCACCTTTGTCTTTCTGGCGACCAGCCCCCATCCAAAGCTACCCAGGGACTGCTAGCCGTCAGTCAACTGATGAACTAAAAAAAGACACTTATTGCCGGGCATGGTGGCTCATGCCTGTAATCCCAGCACTTTGGGAGACCAAGGTGGGCGGATCACTTGAGGTCAGGAGTTTGAGACCAGCTTGGCCAACATCATGAAACCCTGTCTCTACTAAAATACAAAAAAATTAGCTGGGCGTTGTGGTGGGTGCCTGTAATCCCAGCTACTAGGGAGACTGAGGTAGGAGAATGGCTTGAACCTGGGAGGTGGAGCTTGCAGTAAGCTGAGATTGTGCCACTGCACTCCAGCCTGGGCAACGGAGCGAGACTCCACCTCAGAAAAAAATAAAAATAAAAAAAGACACTTACCACTTTGAAAATTCCAAGGATTCCACCAGGTGCAGTGGCTCACACCTGTAATCCCAGTACTTTAGGAGGCGGAGGTGGGCAGATCACCTGAGGTCAGGAGTTCAAGATCCACTTGGCCATCATGGTGAAACCCCCGTCTTCACTATAAATACAATAATTTGCCAGGCATGGTGGTGGGTACCTGTAATCCCAGCTACTCAGAATCCTGAGGTAGGAGAATCACTTGAACCCAGGAGGTGGAGGTTGAAGTGAGCCGAGATTGCACCACTGCACTCCAGCCTGGGCAACAGAGTGAGACTTCGTCTCAAAAACAAAAAACAGAAACAAACAAAAAAGAAAATTCCAAGAATTTTTAGAACTTGTATTCCAGGAAATTGAATGAAAACTAAACATGTATTTCTCAATATCACAGGGCCTGAGAAATTAATCCCTTGCCTGGACTCAAAAGGGCTAGGAAGGGCAAGACACAGCTCTTCCAGTTCCCACGGCCAGGAGTTGCTTCCTGGTACTTACGCCCATCCAGGTAGCCCTTCAGACACTGCATGGCCAGAAGGCTTGCATTTCCTTTATTGTTAGCAGTGTATGCCATGATTTTCTGTAGTCATTCAGCAGTGAAGAGTATTAAAATGAACAAAATGTGACAAAGGAGAAGGAGATAGTACATTTGCTGGTGAATTGAAGGGCCTGACTCTTGGGGCTTTAGCTCAATGATAAGAAATAGATGTCAAGAGATTAAATGATGGCATCATTGAAGAGATAAGTGGCCTCGTCCTCTTTCTCTGTCTTAAAAAAGAAGGCATCCCGTCAGGTGTGAATAGTAAGGAGCAAGTGTGCAGTGCTCTGTGCTAAAGTACCTTTCAAATCTGCAATCTCATGTAAACTTTCCCAGTTGCCTTGCATGTGGGAAGGGCAGGCAGGATGCTCACACTGCTGTGGTCTAGATCATTCAGCCAGAATGCAAACTGCGCCGGGATCCAACCCAGATTGGCCAATCTCCAGGGGCAGCCCAGACTCTAAGACCAGGCAAAGTTGGTTCCAAGCCTGGCCCTCCCACCTATGCACCTTAATTTCTGATCTTGGATACATGGCTTCACTTTACTAAATACGGCTTTTAATGGTTATGGTAATCTGTAACTCAGAATAGTTATGTGAGGCTTAAATGAACTGGTTTCTGTAAAGCAGCTAGCATAGTGCCTGCCACTGTTCCTCAGTGTATGTATCTTCCCGTCACTTCCCCAAGCCATGGTTCCCCCAAATCTTTATAATCCGAAGAATCCTTATGTGCATTGAGGTCTGAATGCTGAAGGCAGAGGTAGAAGGAAACAGTGCTCAGTTGGGGCCAGGAGAAAATCAATCCCAGCTGTGGTGTTTGGTCAATGATTATAAGGGCTTTGAGATGCTTCTTAACTGCCTTGCGTTTGACTTTCTGGGCTGAGGCATGGAGATTGCTATCTAGTCCAAGCAGGCTTGCCTCTCAGATGGAATGGAGATGAAGGAGGTAATAGAATGAAGCACTGGGAAAAAACAAAATGCAGCAACACTTCCAGAATGCATCATCTTTCAGGCAGAGGAATGGGCTGGATCGTTTTTTCCTTTTCTTTTCTTTTCTTTTTTTTTTTTTGGAGGGGGCGGAGGGAGACGGAGTTTTGCTCTTGTTGCCCAGGCTGGAGTGCAATGGCACGATCTCGGTTCACCGCAACCTCCGCCTTCCAGGTTCAAGCGATTCACTTGCCTCAGCCTCCCAAGTAGCTGGTATTACAGGCATGCGCCACCACGCCCAGCTAATTTTGTATTTTTAGTAGAGACGGGGTTTCTCCATGTTGGTAGGCTGGTCTTGAACTCCCGACCTCAGGTGATCCACCAGCCTCGGCCTCCCAAAGTGCTGGGTTTACAGGCATGAGCCATGGTGCCCGGCCAGTTTTTTTTTCTTTTCTTTTTTTGGGGGTTGAAAGCCATCTTTTGAGGGGAGCAGTGTCTGGTGTGTCGTCTGATGGCATCGTGCTCCTGGCTGGTGCTCCTCTGGCAGTGGAGTGAGACCTAGGTGGCTGGGAGGTGACCAAAACCACACACTATGGATGCTACATGGACCATGGGGAAGGAAATAAGAACAGTCCTGTGGCGAACAGCTGGAGCAAGAGTGCCCTCGCTGGATCAGGAGGTCTGTCTATCAATATTTTAATTTCTTTTTTGTTTTGTTTTGTGTTTTTGAGACAGGGTCTCACTCTGTTGCCCAGCCTGGAGTGCAGTGGAATGATCACAGCTCACTGCAGCATCAACCTTCTGGGCTCAGGTGATCCTCTTGGCTCAGCCTCCCAAGTAGCTGAGACCATAGGCTCACACCACCGTGCCTGGCTAATTTTTTAAATTATTTGTAGAGATGGAGTCTCCCTATGTTGCCTAGGCTGGCCTCATACTCCTGGGCTCAAGCAATCCTGCCTAAGCCTCCCAAAGTGCTGGGATTACAGGCATGGGCCACCATGTCCAGTCTACTAATATTTTAGTAAACAAAAAACTGGCCGGGTGCAGTGGCTCATGCCTGTAATCCCAGCACTTTGGGAGGCTGAACTGAGAAGATTGCTTTGAGACAGGAGTTTGAGACTGATCTGGGCAACAAAGTGAGACCCCTGTCTCTACTACAAATGCTAATAGGTTGGCTTGGTGTCTCACGCCTATAATCCCAGCACTTTGGGAGGCTGAGGTGGGTGGATCACTGAAGATCAGGAGTCCAAGGCCAGCCTGGCCAACAAGGTGAAACCCCGTCTTTACTAAAAATACAAAAATTAGCCGGCATGGTGGTGGGGGCCTGTAATCCCAGCTACTTGGGAGGCTGAATTGGGTGGATCACTTAAGATCAGGAGTCCAAGGCCAGCCTGGCCAACAAGGTGAAACCCTGTCTTTACTAAAAATATAAAAATTAGCCGGCATGGTGGTGGGGGCCTGTAATCCCAGCTACTTGGGAGGCTGAGGCAAAAGAATCCCTTGAACCCAGGAGGCAGAGGTTTCAGTGAGCCGAGATCGCACCACTGTACTCCAGCCTGGGCAACAGAGCAAGACACCATTTCAAAAATAAATAATAAAACACACACAAAAAAGAAAGCAAACTTCTTTGAAATTCATATTATTTGTTAGCAGAATGGATATGTTTTCAGTTGTCTCATAGAGTTGTGAGATGATTGAATGAGGAAATCTATGTGATAAACTCATGTGTATGAGATGACACAGTTGGAGCTCAATAAATGGGAGTTCTCTCACATCGCTCATGCCTCGTGAAGCTCAGAGCCTAGCCCACTCTGCTTGTACTTCCTGGAACCTTTTGAAAGGGCTGTCCCAGCTCTTTCCACTTAGCTCACCACCTCTTCAATCCTTCAACTCCTACCATCTGGAGTCTGTCCCAACACTCATGCAGTGCTCCTGGCAGGTCAGCAATCACACGCACAAGCACTCTTTTTAGTCGTTATCTTATTATTTCATCTTCGATTCTTCAACATTTGGAATTGGCCATTTTCTCCTTTTCAAAAAAAATTTTTTTTAAGACAAGGGTCTCACTATGTTGCCCAGGCTGGTCTCGAACTCCTGGGCTTGAGAGTGATCCTCCTGCCTTGGCCTCCCAAAGTACTGGGATTACAGGCCTGAGCCACTGCATCCAGCCCATTTTCTTTTTTCCTTTTGTCTTTTTTTTTGTAACAGGATCTCGCTCTGTTGCCCAGACTGGAGTGCCTTGGCATAATCATGGCTCATTGCAGCCTCGACCTCCTGGGCTCAAGCTATCCTTCTACCTCAGCCTTCCAAGTAACTGGAACCACAGGCATGCACCACCACACTTGCTTAATTTTTTTACTTTTTGTAGAGAAAAGGCCTTGCTATGTTTCCTAGGCTTGTTTTGACCTCCTGGCCTCAAGGGATCCTCCCACCTTGGCCTCTCAAAGTGTTGGGATTACTTATAGGCATGAGCCACCACACCCAGCCAACATTTTCTTTTCTCATTCTGAAAACTCTCTGATTTCAAGACACCACATTCTTTGGATTCTTCTCCCTGTCCTCTGACCTTTATTCTTGGCCTCTTCTGCTACCTCTCCCTCCTTTGCAGGACCACTTCTCCTTAGGGCCTGTAAGACAACCCAGTCTCAAGATTGGACAACTGATATGTGTGACTAAGATATGTCCTCATTTCTGGCCAGGTGCTGTGGCTCACGCCTGTAACCCCAGCACTTTGGGAGGCTAAGGTGGGTGGATCACCTGAGGTCAGGAGTTTGAGACCAGCCTGACCAACATGGAGAAAACCCATCTCTACAAAAAATACAAAAATTAGCCGGGCGTGGTGGTGCATGCCTGTAATCCCAGCTGCTCAGAAGGCTGAGGCAGGAGAATTGCTTGAACCTGGGAGGTGGAGGTTGCGGTGAGCCGAGATCATACCATTGCACTCCAGCCTGGGCAACAAGAGCGAAATGTCTTCCAAAAAAAAAAAAGGCCGGGAGTGGTGGCTCACTCCTGTAATCCCAGCACACTTTGGGAGGCTGAGGCAGGTGGATCATGAGGTCAGGAGTTTGAAACCAGCCTGCCCAGCATGGTGAAACCCCTTCTTTACTGAAAATACAAAAAATTAGCCAGGCATGGTGGCACATGCCTGTAGTCCCAGCTACTTGGGAGGCTGAGGCAAGAGAATTGCTTGAATGCGGCAGGTGGAGGTTGCAGTGAGCCGAGATCGTGCCATTGCATTCCAGCCTGAGTGACAGAGCAGACTCCATCTCAAAAAAAAAAAAAAAAAAGGTCACAAAACTTGTCAGCATTCTTATCTGTAGTAGGCAATCTTGTGAAAATGCAACAGACTTGATAGGCAAATGGAGCTTTAAGATGAAGTTCTGAAAGGATCACCAGTCCTTGCAACCATCGCTACAGCCAGCCCTTACTATGTATAGATTTGAGAGCCACGAGTGGCCTTTCTGACTCTTGATGTTGGCTTTGCCCTGGTTCCCCCACAATTCTCTCCTTGTTCTCTATGCTTTTCTGGGATGATTTTAATCATTCCTGAGGAGTTTCCTAAGGTGACTCAGCTTTTGCAATGTGATTAAAAATAAGATTGCCTCTTAGCAAGTGTGGGTGTCTGGGGCTCAGGGAGTGACTGGGATAGATCAAGTTTGCTTCCTGTGACTGCTGTCATTCATCCTTTCTCCCTACATTTTCTGATATAGGGAGAAACAAGTTTGGGAACTCTAACAACATGGAAGTGAAATGTGTACACCTAAAATAAGAGGTTGGCTGGGCGTGGTGGCTAACGCCTATAATCCCAGCACTTTGGGAAGCCAAGGCAGAAGGATTGCTTGAGCCCAGGAGTTCAAGACCAGCCTGGGCAACATAGCAAGACCCTGTCTCTACAAAAAAATTTTAAAATTAGGCAGGCATGGGGGCATGTGCCTGTGGTCCCAGCTACTCGGGAGGCTGAGGCAGGAGAATCACTTGAAGCTGGAAGGCAGAGGTTGAAATGAGCTGAGATGGCGCTATTGCACTCCAGTCTGGGTGACAGAGCAAGACTCTGTCTCAAAAAACAAACAAACAAAGATGCTACTTACCAGTAATACTTATTGATCTGATCAACATGGGATAAAAACATTTTATTTAAGAGTCAGGCCATCAAAGAAAATAAATGATTCTGGTTCCCATTCCCAAGTGAGCCACAGAATCATGAAGTCATTTAAGCTCAAAATCTGCTTAGTTAACTTGTGAAATGATTTTAGAACCGGAAATCTTGCTATCCTACCCCAAGGCAGGATTTTTAAAAGTCCATAATAGCTATTACATGACTGAGGGCAAGACTTCATCTGTGCATCCCCAGTAGCTAGCGCAGAGCCTGACGCATAGTACATGCTTATAAAAGTTGAATTGATTTATCTGCATGCAAATTGCTAACAGGGAAAAATGCCCAGCTACAGAGTGATGTTGCTTGTGAAGTCCAGCAAGCAGGAAAGGCAAACTCATATCCAGAATACATGTTGATTAAATGCAAAATGAATTGCAACCCCTTCCATGGGGTAGAATGAGGCCAACTTTGTCTACTTACCACTGAGTTGTCTCCTTGAGGATTGTGCTATATCAAGTCCTCAGCACTGGTCTCTGCTGATTGGACATTTGGCAACAGTGTAGCTACATCAGGCCTGGTGAGTTGGGGTCCATGCCGCTGAGCTCATGCATAACCCCTATCCCTGCCACCATGGATAATCCCTCATTCATTTCTTGTTCCAGTCTTGGGAGAAGTAAGGGATGGTGGCCAAAGTCAACCGGTCAACTAGAAAAATTGTAGTGCCTCCTCCATGTGGATGTTCTCTGTGGGGCATGAACGTGTGATACATAGATGTTTACATTTCATGTCTATGTCTACAGATCCATACTTATGCCCCTTCTCCAGACTTTTTTTTTTTTCTATCCTGATCTTCAAGTTTTTCTTCTTTAAGCCTCTGACCAACTATCAAGTCATTTGCCAGAGCCCATGAATCTGTATGTACCCAAGTGAAGCACTGGATGTGCTGCCCAAAGCTCTGCCCAGCGGGAGGATTTCCCCTCAACACTGTCTCTCAGGGCTACCCATGGTGCAGGTGCAGCCCATTTTTGGCTTGCACCACCAACTAAGCTACTCATCTGTAAATTAAGTTTAGCCTTTTTCTTCCTCTGTCAGTTGATCACAAGCGACCCTCCCCTACAATGGCCAGTAGTGAACAAAGGAAGGGATATGGGTGCAACAGTGGTAGATTTCCTGGGGCTCTGGGCCACCTGATCATGCAGTTTACTCATGCCCTTGGCTTTGCACATGTCTGATCCTACAAACACCACTTCCACTTTAGGATGTGTTGCTGCCTCTAATGACTTCACGAGTCAGAGAAAATATAGTTCATTACAGCCAGTTCTGGCCACGTTGTCTCTAAATGGCTCATGGTCAACTAATTTTTGAAAGATACGTCGTTCTCTGCTGCAAATGGCATAACTACGTTTCTGAACCCTAGTGAGCTACATTGTGTTTTGTAGATTGAAGTTGACCATAGACCCACACAGAGTCTTTTCCCACCATATCTACCTCTGTACCATAAGGTCTGCCTGGTCATGGGGTACAAGTGGCAGGGGTGCTTTCAACAGAACTCTTCCCTACTCTGGCCCAACTTAAAGCTGGCAACTTTTGTGTCCTCTAGAATATGAGTTGAAGCAGAATTCTCAAATGTGGCTATCTTTAGAACCCAAAGAAGCCAATCAGGCATTGCCTTTTCTTCTTTGTGGCCGGGTGTGGTGGCTCACACCTGTAATCCCAGCACTTTGGGAAGCCGAGGAGGGTGGATCACCTGAGGTCAGGAGTTCAAGACCAGCCTGGCCAACATGGTGAAACCCTGTCTCTACTAAAAATACAAAAATTAGCCAGGCGTGGTGGCGTGTGCCTATAGTTTCAGCTACTTGGGAGGCTGAGGCAGAGGAATCACTTGAACCCAGAGGCAGAGGTTGCAGTGAGCTGAGATTGTGACACTGCACTCCAGCCTGAGCAACAGAGCAAGATTCTGTCTCAAAAAAAAAAAAAAAAAAAAAAGAAAAAGAAAGAAAAGAAAAAAGAAAGAAGTTGTGTAATGCAATAATTTTTTCATTACTTTGGAGAGGATGTTCTGGCACGCACGGACCACTGAATCTCTGAAGCTTCACTGATTTTGCAGCCTCCTGAGTCACTGGAAAATTTATGTCCCACCTCTGGGGTGCATGTGTCTTACCAAGGCTTCCAATGGACTTCTCACTCCTTGCTCATCTGATTAGATCAAATGATCATTAAAAAAGTGGATTAACGCCATGTTATTTGGGCTGTCCAGACAATCTATTTTTCTTTGGACTAAAATATGACAAAGGATGGGAGAATTAACATGGTTTTGGAGCAAGTCCATTAATTCATATAATTATCTGTCCCAAGCAAATGCAAACTGTTTTTAGTTCTTTTTGATAGGGATGAAAAAGAATGCATTTGCAAGATAAAGAACCAGATGCCATGCATCTGAGCCTATGTTAATATTTGCCAGCAGATATTCTACATCTGGCAGAAGCAGCTGCAATTGGAGCTGCTGCTTGGCTGAGCTTCCAAGAACCACCCTCGCATAAACGCAGCATCTTCCAAATTCCTTGCCAGGATATAAAGTCCATATAATGGGAAAATGCTCTTTTTTTTTTTTTTTAGATGGAGTCTTGCTCTGTCACCCAGGCTGGAGCTCTCTGGTGTGATCTCAGCTCAATGCAACCTCTGCCTCCCGAGTTCAAGTGATTCTCCTGTCTCAGCCTCCTGAGTAGCTGGGATTACAGGCACACGCCACCATGCCTGGCTAATTTTTTGTATTTTTAGTAGAGACAGGGTTTCATCATGTTGCCCAGGCTGGTCTTGAACTCCTGAACTCAGGTGATCCACTCTCCTCGGCCTCCCAAAGTGCCAGGATTACAGGCATGAGCCACCACACCCGGCCAGGAAAATGCTCTTATATCCATAATTTCTCCCTTAACCTTACTTTATGTTCCATGCCTTCCCACCCCACTTTTGCCTCCCATCCAGGGCATTCAGAATCCAGGTCCTCATGTTCTCTTCTGGGTCCTGGGGGTACATATTGGCTCTATCCAGCATCTCCTTTGAGAGGAAGACAGGCACCACCTCTCCTGCTGACCATTATGCTAATAACCAATTAGAGGTCACAATTTATGCAGCTGGGTTATGTCATAACCTAAATCTAGTTATTAGCATAATGGCCAGCAGAAGAGGTGAGGCTTATCTTAAGCAGGGATATATGTTGTCTTGGAAGGCAAATGAGTCCACATAATCTTCAGGCAAGTAGGAAAAGTACTAATCTTTCCCCAGCAAAAACAGGCCAGGTCTTTCAAGGGGTTCCAGATTTTCAAGTGCATTGACCCAGATTTATCCATCCCAAATTTTAGGTTCCAATACTTCCCAACCAGCGCCCTGACCTTGGCATAGCAGACACGCCTAGACTGACAGTTCAACCTTCTTTGGTGTTCTATCACTCCTGTAACTGTGCTTTGGCCCTAATCCTTAGCTTTTTCTGCCCTATAGATAATGGATATGAGTCTCAGCCAAGGAGGCCCTCAGGATTTCACGTCCTACCTCTAGGGTGTATGTGTCTTACCAAGGCTTCCAAAAGACGTCTTACTCCTTGCTCATCTGATCAAATCAACATAATGTCATTGATTAGATCAATATGATGTCATCAATTAAAGAATTGATGATCAGGGCTGGGTGCGGTGGCTCATGCCTGTAATCCCAGCACTTTGGGAAGCTGAGGCAGGTGGATCACATGAGGCCAGGAGTTTGAGACCAGCCTGGCCAACATGGTGAAACCTCGTCTCTACTAAAAATACAAAAATTAGATGGGTGTGGTGGTGCATGTCTGTAATCTCACCTACTTGGGAGGCTGAGGCAGGAGGATCACTTGAGCCCAGGAGGAGGAGGTTGCAGTGAGGTGATACCATGTCACTGCACTCCAGCCTGGGTGACTGAGTGAGACTCTGTCTCAAAAAAAAAAAAAAAAAAAGAATTGACAATTAATTATTTTCAGCCTTTCATTTACTTTCTGGAAAGCATCAATAACTCCCGGTAATAGCTATGTGACTCTGTAGTCCTTATAATTACTTTTTCTTTAATTCTCAAGCCGCCAGTGACTTCCTTCCACCATTTACCACCTAGTTCACCGACACATCCACAGCTGGGCGATCAGTGTTTCAGTTCTGGGCAAGGCATCCGGGCATCCTAACTCTGTATCCCCCACAGTCTTCACCATCATTGTCATTATCTTCATTTGTTGAATTTTATCATGTACAATCATTGGGCTAAGGGTGGAAACTAATCTTTATGGAGCACATACACATGTTAAGTATTGAGATATGATTATTCCACTTTCTTATTTAATCTTTCTGGAAAAGAAAAAGACACCTGAAACTCAGAGAGTTGAAATAATTTGCTCAAGATCACTCAGTTGGTGAGATTTGAGTCTATGACTTTATGCCACTGAACCCCGTTATGACATAATGCTTTCCATTCTAGAATTTATTTTTATTTCTATTATTTATTTATTTTATTTATTATTATTATTTCTTGAGATGTAGTCTTGCTCTGTCACCCAGGCTGGAGTGCAGTGGCATGATCTCGGCTCACTGCAACCTCCGCCTCCTGGGTTCAAGCAATTCTCCTGCCTCAGCCTCCCAAGTAGCTGGGGTTATAGGTGCCTGCCACCACACCCGGCTAATTTTTGTATTTTTAGTAGAGACAGGGTTTCACCATGTTGGCCAGGCTGGTCCCGAACTACTGACCTCAGGTGATCCGCCCTCCTCGGCCTCCCAAAGTGCTGGGATTACAGGCATGAGCCACCGTACCTGGCCTCTGTTCTAGAATTTTTAAAGTTGGCTTAAAATAGAACCATCACCATCATAAGGAAAATAGTTCCTGAAACATTCCCCTAGCAGCTCCAGGGTTAGTGCTCTACATGCACAAAACCTCTATTCTTTATGCTGAATGGACCCCCAACTTCTTATTAAAACAGAATATGTGCCTAAGATTCCCCCAAAGTACAAACAACCCAGCTCCCAACCACTTTTCTCACAGGTACACCACTGGAAATGAAGGCCAAGTGGCCCAGACTGTGGCCGGACAGGCTGTTTCCAGGTCCTTGCCTGCCAGAAGGAATGAGCTGCGGCCTTTTTCCCAGCTCCCGCCATCCACTGCCAGAAAGCCCAGCTTCTCCCGCTCTGTGACTCAGCCTTGCAGGTGTTTGCGTCCCACTCCCACAGCACAACCCAGGATGAGGAATGATGCACTCACATCAGGAGGCATTAAGGGCTTAGTAATCCCTTAGACACAGGAAAGTAGAAAAAGGGGGGAAAATATCTAATGTGTTGGGTGAAGGAGTCTGGAAGCTGGCTGGGGAAGGACTGCAGGCTTTCCTAGAAGTAGCCAGCTGTCAAATTGCTTTTTTCAAGAGCCAGAGGCATTTCTTGTTTTCAGCATCTGTGGTGCTCAGGATCTGCCTGGACCTGGAGGAAACTGGGCATTAGTCCTGTTCTCTACTAGGAAACCCACTTCTAGCACCTTTAGAGGTTGGAGAAGGATGCAACAGTGACCTCTCACAAGAGTCTGCTGCTCTGAAGCCCTGGGAATGTATCAGCTTTGGCTACAGCCTTAATGCAAGCTGAGTCAGACATGTCTCAGCTCCCTGATTCTGGGAGTTTCTTTCTTGCTAGTGAACTTCTGCTTTCTATCTGTAAAAATGAAGACAAGTTATTGTCCAGCCTGGGCAGCATAGCAAGGTCTCATCTCTTAAAAAAATGGAGACAATTATTTTGGCTTCACAACAATATTAATTCTTTTTTTTTTTTTTTTTTGAGACAGAGTCTTGCTCTGTCATCCAGGCTGGATTGCAATGGCACAATCTCGGCTCACTGCAACCTCCACTGCCCGGGTTCAAGCGATTCTCCTGCTGCAGCCCCCCAAGTAGCTGGGATTACAGGTGTGTGCCACCACGTCCAGCTAATTTTTGTATTTTTAGTAGAGATGGGGTTTTGCCATGTTGGCCAGGCTGGTCTCAAACTCCTGACCTCAGGTGATCCACCTGCCTCGGCCTCCCAAGGATTACAGACGCGAGACACGGCTCCCGGCAACAATATTCATTCATTCTTAATTCCCCAATATTTATCGTATCTAACTTGTGATAGGTGTACTAGTATGTTATAGGGATACAACAGAAAAGTAAAAACTAGGCCGGACCCAGTGGCTCATGCCTGTAATACCAGCACTTTAGGAGGCCAAGGCGGGTGGATCACTGAGTTTGGGAGTTCGAGGCCAGCCTGGCCAACATGGTGAAACCCCCATCTCTACTAAAAAAATATAAAAATTAGCCGGGCATGGTGGCAGGCACCTGTAATCCTGACTACTCGGGAGGCAGAGGCAGGAGAATTGCTTGAACCTGGGGGGCAGAGGTTGCAGTGAGCCGAGATCGCACATTGCACTCCAGCCTGGGTGACAAGAGCGAAACTCCGTCTTAAAAAAAAAAAAAACCCAACAGCATCTCTTACATCAAGCAGGGAGCCTACAGCTGAGTGGGGCAGCAGATAATGACCAAAGGAACTCAACTGTGCTACATGTGATGAAGAGGGGCCCGTGGTGCTGGGAGAGAATTTCTTAGGGAACCTGACTTAGTTGATGTAGAGGAAGGTCAAGGAAGTTTTCCTAAAATGATATTTGAGGTCATATGGTGTTAACCAGGCAAAGCAAGGCAATGGCATGAGGTGGGAAGAGGGGGTAGGGCAGTATTTGAGGCAATGGTAATAGCTTTGGAAAGAGGGGATATGGTTTGTTTAAGAAAGTGCTAGAAGCCAATGTGCTGGCATGTGCCTGTAGTCTCAACTACTCAGGAGGCCAAGGTGGGATGATTGCCTGAACCCAGGAGTTTAAAGCCAGCCTAGACAATGTAGGCCCCATCTCTTAAAGCGGAAAAAAAAAAAGAGAGAGAGAGAGAGTGAAGAGAAGAAAGTACTGGAGGCCACTGTGGCTGGGACCTCCAGGAGGAAAGCCATGTGGAATGGGGCTGAAGTCTCAGGGGCCCTACAGTGTGATTTTTATTGTAAAGTCAATGCAAACCACTGAAACCACCTAAACAGAGAAGAATGGATTCAATTTGCAGTTTGAAAAACGTGTTCGGGTAGGACTGCAGAGAATAGACTGGAGGTGGGGCTATTGTCATTGTTTAGTGGAGAAAAGTTGGAAGTTTGGCTTAAGAAGATCAACGGCATAGAATGAAATAACTCTTAGTTTATGGCTTAAGCAACTGGAGTTCATGTTGAAGAGAGCTGAAGACATGGGTGTTGCTGAGATGCCTGGGGAGAAAATATCTAGTAAGAAAAGAGGGGAGCTAGGTCGGAGCCTAGAGCAATTCTAATCATCAAAGACGGTAGAGAAGAGGCTGAGCCTGCCAATGAGACACAAGTGAATTAATGAGATGGGGTGAAACCAGAGACTGTGTGATGGAAGCAAGGTGTATGCCTCAAAGGAGGGACTGTCACTCAAATCTTGCTGAGGACTGAAAAAGAGGGAAAATGCTTTTTTTTTTTTTCTCCCCAGACAGGGTCTTGCTCTGTTGCTCAGGCTGGACTGCAGTGGCATGATCACAGCTCACTGCAACCTCAACTTCCCAGGCTCCAGTGATCCTCCCGACTCAGCCTCCCACGTAATTGGGACCAAAGTTGCACACCAGCACGCCCGGCCAACTTTTGTGTTTTTGGTAGAGACAGGGTTTTACCATGTTTCCCAGGCTGGTCTCGAATCCCTGAGCGCAAGCGATCCACCCACCTCGGCCTCCCAAAGTGTTAGGGTTACAGCTGTAAGCCACTATGCCTGGCCGCCCTTTTTTAACACATGCAGGTCATTTAATTCCTGAGAAGGAGTGAATGTGGTTGGGTGATATTTGCAGATTGAATGGAATACGGCATGGCTTTCAATCATTTCTATATTATGCTAAGGGCATCTGCAGTAGCCTTGTAATACTATTAATTAATAGTTTTTCCTGGCTGGGCGCAGTGGCTCACGCCTGTAATCCCAGCACTTTGGGAGGCCGAGGCGGGTGGATCACGAGGTCAGGAGATCGAGACCACCCTGGCTAACACGGCGAAACCCCGTCTCTACTAAATATATATATATAAAAAAATTAGCCGGGTGTGGTGGTGGGTGCCTGCAGTCCCAGCTACTTGGGAGGCTGAGGCAGGAGAATGGTGTGAACCCGGGAGGCGGAGCTTACAGTGAGCCGAGATGGCGCCACTGCACTCCAGCCTGGGTGACAGAGCAAGACTCCGTCTGAAAAAAAAAAAAAAAGTTTTGCCTTAAATTACTTAATTTTTTTTTTTAACATGGCACATTTATTTTGAAAGGAAACTTTTTATCTCTGATGGACCCCACCCCAATATCATTCACCATTAGTGGTAAAATAAATGCTTTTTTTTTTTTTTTTTTTTTTTTGAGACGGAGTCTTGCTCTGTCACCCAGGCTGGAGTGCGGTGGCGCCATCTCGGCTCACTGAAGCTCCGCCTCCCGGGTTCACGCCATTCTCCTGCCTCAGCCTCCGGAGTAGCTGGAACTACAGGCACCCACCACCATGCCCGGCTAATTTTTTGTATTTTTAGTAGAGACGGGGTTTCACCGTGTTAGCCAGGATGGTCTCCATCTCCTGACCTCGTGATCTGCCCGCCTCGGCCTCCCAGAGTGCTGGGATTACAGGCATGAGCCACCGCACCCGGCCAAATAAATACTATTTTTAAATAAAAGCACTGCTGGTTACTTTAGATATCATATTGTTATTCCAGTTGACAAAGACCCCCATAACCTGGCCTCTGTCTAACTCTCTTCTGTTCCTGTGTACCCTTTCTAAAATAACAAGGAGTTTCTCAACCTGCAGACTATGATATGGGGAATGAAAGATAACTTAGGAATGGAGAAAAAGGGGAAGGCAGGAGAGGTTGTGGAAAATGTTTATTTTTTTTTTACGTTTATTTTTGTAGAGACAGCATCTTGCTATGTTGCCCAGGCTGGCCTTGAACTCCTAGGCTCAAGCGATTCTCTTGACTTGGCCTCCCATAGTGCTGGGATTACAGGTGTGAGTCACCGCACCTGGGTAGAAAAGGGTTTTTCTTCAGTCATTGACATCATCAGCGTGTCCTGTTTGGCCTTGTCCGGTTTGCTGGGAGCCTCCAAGATTCTCTCTACGACAAGGAAAGGATTAGATGTAAAGAGGAGAGATTCAGAGATATATGTCCTATCTACTCAGTCTGGGCCATCCCTATATAAATCTCCCTGCTCATCACACATAGCTGTTGCCCCCGAAACAGGAAATTGAGGGACAGAGAAATCTAAGGAAAAAACAAAACTCCTAAATATGACTCCTCACACCTAGGGTCAACTGCAAATCCCAGGCAGGACTCTTCACGGTCTGATCTCAATCCCTCCAACACTGTGTCTCATCCTGCACAACAAACCCTCCATCCCAGCTCCTCCTTGCCCCATCAGCACCCATTCCAATTTCCTCCTCCAAACCTTGAAGTTTTATCCTTGCATCTTAGATGCTCTTGGTGTTTCCTTTCAATCTTGCATGGATCTTATTCCAGGCAATATCTTTTACCCTAAAATATCTTCTGTAGTTATGGCATTGCCAGGTGCATTTATATTTAACTTTGAATGTGCTCATGGGCTCAGTAAATATGAATGGATTTGGCTTACTCTCAACCAACAATTAGTGAGAATTGTGCAATATGCAAAGATGTGCTTGATACAGCCTCTTCCCTCATTGGGAAGGTATGAGTGGATCATTTCTTCTCTGTTTATGTTCTCAATTGTGCATCAACTGGGTTATTTGTTTCCAAGCTTCAGAAGCTCTGTTTAAGCCAAGAACACAGCTACACAGCTGGGAATGTTCCTCTCCTGGGTGGAGAGTATTACAGAATGATTCAAATCATGGAATAGCATGTACTTAAAACCATCCAAGGGTGGCCAGACCACCTTTAAATCTCTCTCTTTAAAGTCTTGGCTTTGGTATATGGATTTTTGGTGTTTTGGTGAATAAAATTACTAACACAATCTACTTTGGATATATATTTAGACAGAGTGCTCTGCCTGCCAGGCTGGAGTGCAGTGGTGCGATCTTGATTTACTGCAATTTCCACTTCCCTGGTTCAAGCAATTCTCCTGTCTCAGCCTCCCAAGTAGCTGGGACTACAGGCACGTGCCACCATGCCTGGCTAATTTTTGTATTTTTAGTAGAGACAGGGTTTCACCATATTGGCCAGGCTGGTCTCAAACTCCTGACCTCAGGTGATCTACCCATTTGGGCCTCCCAAAGTGCTGGGATTATAGGCATGAGCCACCGTGCCCAGCCTGGACTGATATATTAGACTAAAAATTTGAATTATAGGCCAGGCACGGTGGTTCACGCCTGTAATCCCAGCTCTTTGGGAGGCCAAGGTGGGCAGATAATAAGGTCAGGAGATCGAGACCATCCTGGCTAACACGGTGAAACCCCATCTCTACTAAAAACACAAAAAATTAGCCGGGCGTGGTGGCGGGCGCCTGTAGTCCCAGCTACTTGGGAGGCTGAGGCAGGAGAATCGCTTGAACCCAGGAGGCGGAGGTTGCAGTGAGCCGAGATCGCAGCACTGCACTCCAGCCTGGGTGACAGAGTGAGACTTTGTGTCATAAAACAAACAAACAAAAACACTTAAAAAATAAAAATTTGAATTATCTTCAAATGTGATGGGGCCATGCGCTTACCAAAAATAAAATAAAATAATAAAATAAAATAAAATAAAATAAAATAAAATAAAATAAAATAAAATAAATAAAATAAACTACTACTGAGGTACACGAAGACCAAACTGCTGCTTGGACATACGCACAATGGGTAAAATGTGCCCCCGCCCTCCACCCGGCTACTGACTCTTTGTTGCCCTCTGCTGTTCCTCATGTTGGCTACATCGAGTTACTGCAAATAGAGCCAACTCTGCAAATTGACCAAGTGACAAATGATCACATTGAACAAATTTCCTGACTGTGGTTTTAACAGCATTGACATGAATGTTCCATTCTCAGTTACTGAAGATGAAATTCTAAACGTTAAAGTTAATGCTTTAAAAAATTTCTCCCCAAATTGGTAAAAATTCGAAGCAAAAATTCTGTTATGAAATAAAACACTTCCATTACATTTCCCAGCCTAAAATTTGGTATTCCATGTGATAGAATTAATTCTAGATAGTTCTTATTTCTTTTAAAATATTTGAAATATTATTTCTATTTTTTCCAGAACACAAACTTTTTTTTTTTTTTTTTTTTTTTTGTCGCCCATGCTGGAGTGCAGTGGCGTAGTCTCAGCTCACTGCAACCTCTGCCTCCTGGGTTCAAGTGATTGTTCTGTGTCAGCCTCCCGAGTAGCTGAGATTACAGGCATGTGCCACCATGCCTGGCTAATTTTTTTTTTTTTGTATTTTTAGTAGAAACAAGGTTTCACCATGTTGGCCAGCCTGGTCTCGAACTCCTGACCGCAGGTGATCTGCCTGACTAGGCCTCCCAAAGTGCTGGGATTATAGGCATGAGCCACTGCACCCGGCCTGAACTTACAAAATATATTAAAAATTCAGCAAGAAATACTCAAAATTGACAAGAGTTTAAAAAGCCATTTTTGATAAGTTGATACATTTGAATGAGATGATTTTCCTGTGTAGCCTCATTTTGGGTTATGATTTGATGTATTTAAGCATTTCCTTTATGTGCAATAAGTCTCATGGCTGCTCACTTAATACAGACACTTCATGTGAGTATAGTAGTTTATGGCTTAAAAATCTTTCTCCTTTTTTTTTGAGTGCAGTGGTATAATCTTGGCTCACTGCAACCTCCACTTCCAGGGTTCAAGTGATCCTCCCACCTCAGCCTCCTGATTAGCTGGGATTACAGGCGTGCGCCACCACACCTGGCTAATTGTTTTGTGTTTTCAGTGGAGACGAGGTTTCGCCACTGTTGGTTAGGCTGGTCTTGAACTCCTGACTTCAAGTGATCTGCCCCCTTCAGCCTCCCAAATTGTTGGGATTACAGGCATGAGCCACTGTGCCCGGTCTCTTACAAATGTTCTTGACACATTGTCTCAGTTGATCTGCACGGCATTTCTGAGAGGTGGTGGTGTTCTTGTCTTTCAACCAGTTAGGCAGGTACCTCCGAGAAGATGAGCAATTTCCACAAAGGCACCCAATTTAGAATATTAGAAACACCAAAAGTTTACATAATTCAGCTGTAATGCAATGTGTATTGGCTAGCATCTGCGGTTTAACACTATTGTTTTATCAAGCCCAGGCGTTTCCATACAAGTAGTACTTGGAACTCTCCCATGGGTCCTCCTCTTGCAATCACAGCATTTGACACTTTTGATTGGATGCTTTTTCATGGTAGCGAATATTTGTTGAGAAACTGTTCTGTATCAGTCACAGTGCTAAGCGTTCCTGTGTATCCTCCACACTCAAGTCTCAACAGTAACCTGCTCACTAACGGATCTCAAATCTGTATCTTCAGCCCAGGGCTCCCTCATTTCCATTTGGTTGCCTAACACCTGCTAGAAGGTGGAAAAAGAGTCGTAGCAAGTACTGCAATCATCTGCCCACTATTAGAATATCTAAATACGAGGCCGGGCGCAGTGGCTCACGCCTGTAAAACCCAGCACTTTGGGAGGCTGAGGCGGGTGGATCCAAGGTCAAGAGATCAGATCATCCTGGCTAACACGGTGAAACCCCGTCTCTACTAAAAATACAAAAAATTAGTCGGGCATGGTGGTGGGAGCCTGTAGTCCCAGCTAGTACAGGCAGGAGAATGGTGTGAACCTGGGAGGCGGAGGTTGCAGTGAGCCGAGATCGTGACACTGCACTCCAGTCTGGGCGACAGAGCGAGACTCTTAAAAAAAAAAAAAAAAAAAAAGAATATCTAAATATTTGTCTTTCCACCTTCTACTGAGTCTGCAAGCTCCAAGAGAATCAGAGGCAACACATTTTTCACTTGACTCTCCCTACAGTCAATTTAACTTTTAACACATAGTGGTTTCTCAATGTTTATTGGCCTCAAGGTACATTGTATCTAGTATGTTTAAATCAAGCCAGGAAGGAAGAAATAAAGTTGGTAATTTGGCCACTAGATGTCACACCACACTTGATGGTCAACAGAAAATTCCTGGCCTATGTTGTTCCAAATTTCACCTCGATTTTAATATGAAAGCAAATCTTGTGTTACTGTATTCATTAATCTCAACCATTTGAAACAAAGTATCAACCAGACTTTTCTTGGTGTTAGTGTCAACTTTTAATTACTCATTTTTATGGGAGGAGACAATGTCTGGGGATAACGTGCAAATAATTTGTAGTTGACTTAGGAATTTATCATGTGACATTTTCCCAGTCTGTTTGCCTTTTTAATTGTCTATGGTTAATATTAATTTGCATTCTGAGAACTGTGTGAGATAAATTAGGTGTAGTGAGGTAGGGATTAATCTGAAATTAACGATTTTATTAAGCAAAATTTTGCTGATGCCATCCTCGAAATTAAGTCCTTCAGTGGATTCCCATTGCTTTTGTTTTTAAATTAAAATAATTTTTTTTGAGATAAGGTCTTGCTATGTTGCCCAGACTGATCTCGAATTCCTGGGCTCTCCTGCCTCACTCTCCTGAGTAGCTGGGATTACAGGTGTGTGTCACCATGCCCAGCCTCTGTTGCTTTTAGAAGCATTGTCCAGGTGTGCTAGCTCATTCCTGTAATCACGGCACTGTGGGAGGCTGAGGCAGGAGGATCACTTGAGGCCAGGATTTCAAGACCAGCCTGGGCAACACAACAAGACTCCGTCTCTAGAAAAAAAAAAAAAAGGAGGACCAATATACTGAATGTGGCCTACCTGGCCCTGCCTGCTTGGAAACCTACAGAGCTCACCCACCTCTCTCCTAGGACATGCCTCCTCCAGCTGTGCCAACCTTTTTTTTTTTTTTTTTTTTTTTTTTGAGACGGAGTCTCGCTGTTGCCCAGGCTGGAGTGCAGTGGCGCAATCCCGGCTCACTGCAAGCTCTGCCTCCCGGGTTCACGCCATTCTCCTGCCTCAGCCTCCCGAGTAGCTGGGACTACAGGTGCCAGCCACGGCGGTGCCCGGCTAATTTTTTGTATTTTTAGTAGAGACGGGGTTTCACCGTGTTAGCCAGGATGGTCTCCATCTCCTGATCTCGTGATCTGCCCACCTTGGCCTCCCAAAGTGCTGGGATTACAGGTGTGAGCCACCGTGCCCGGCCAAGCTGTGCCAACCTTACCTGCGAAATGTGTCAGACCCTTCCCTCCTATTCCATCAGATTTCAGTTCAAGAGTCACTGCCTGATGGCAGATTTCCACGACCTCCCACTGTGCTATTGTCCTATGGCTGCTGTAACAAATCACCCCAAATTAGCAGCTTGAGACAACACACATTCTCTTACAGTTCCGGAGATCAGAAGTCTCAATGAGCCCCACCAGGCTAAAATCAAGGTGTCAGTGGGGCTATGCCCCTTCGGGAGGCTCTAGGGGAAAGTCTGTTTTCTTTTCTTTTTTTTTGAGACAGAGTCTCACTCTGTCGCCCAGGCTGGAGGGCAGTGGCACGATCTTGGCTCACTGCAACCTCTGCGTCCTAGGTTCAAGTGATTCTCCTGCCTCAGCCTCCTAAGTAGCTGGGATTACAGGTGCGTACCACCACACACAGCTAGTTTTTGTATTTTTAGTAGAGACGGGGTTTCACCATTTTGGTCAGGCTGGTCTCGAACTCCTGACCTCGTGATCTGCCCACCTTGGCCTCCCAAAGTGCTGGGATTACAGGCGTGAGCCACCACGCCCAGCTGGAAAGTCTGTTTTCTTGTCATCTCCAGTTTCCAGAGGCTGTCTGCATTCCTTGGCTTGTGGCCTCTTTTCATCTTCAAGACCAGCAATCATATCACTCCAGCCTCTGACTTCTGCTTCTGTGGCCTCATTCCCTTCGCTGACTCTCATGATTCTTCGTCATTTAAGAATCCTTGTGATTACATTAGGCACAGCCAGATAATCCAGGATCATTTCCCTATTTTAAGGTCAGCAGATTAGCATTCCTCTATTTTGTTTTATTTATTCACTCATTGATTTTTTTATTTATTGAGACAGAGGCTCACTCTGTCACCCAGGCTGGAGTGCAGTGGCGTGATCTTGGCCCACTGCAACCTCCGCCTCCCAGGTTCAAGCGATTCTCCTGCCTCAGCCTCCCAAGTAGCTGGGACTACAGGCACCTGCCACCATGCCTGGCTAATTTTTGTACTTTTAGTAGAGACGGGGTTTTACCTTATTGACCTGGCTGGTCTGGAACTCCTGACCTTATGATCCACCTGCCTCAGCCTCCCAAAGTGCTGGGATTACAGGCATGAGCCACCGCACCCAGCCTATTTTAATTTTTAGAGATGGGGTCTCACTATGTTGCCCAGGCTGGTCTCGAACTCTGGGCTCCAGTGATCCTCCTGCCTCAGCCTTCCAAATTCTGGAATTACAAGCATGAGCTACCAGGCCTGGCCAGATTAGCATTCCTAATTCCATCTAGGACCCCAGCTCCCCCTTGCTACATAATGTAACATATTGACAAGTTTTGGGGATTAGGATGTGAACATCTTTGGGGGCCATTATTCTGCCTACCATAGCTACCTAAGTTAAACACAAAAGATTTTAAGTTCTTATAACCACTTGTTACAGTTAATTTCATTTCTTGCTCTTCACTGTATCTCCATTCTCCAGCACTTTGCTCAAATAAATGTCAAATACAGGGTTAGCCAGTGGGAGATACATGGTGATTGTGATAGCGATTTCTTTTTTTTGCCATTTTATTTTTGGTATATCGTCTGTTTTTACATTCTTTTTGTTTTTTTGTTTTTTTGAGACGGAGTTTCCCTCTTGTTGCCCAGGCTGGAGTGCAATGGTGTGATCTTGGCTCACTACAACCTCCGCCCCTCCAGGTTCAAGCGATTCTCCTGCCTCAGCCTCCCAAGCAGCTGGGATTACAGGCGTGCACCACCACGCCTGGCTAATTTTTGTATTTTTAGTAGAGACGGGGTTTCTCCATGTTGGCCAGGCTGGTCTCGAACTCCTGACCTCAGGTGATCCATCTGCCTCGGCCTCCCAAAGTGCTAGGATTGCAGGCATGAGCCACTGCGCTCAGCCACATTTCTTTTTAATTTTTAGGTTTGGGGGTGCATGTGAAGGTTTGTTGCATAGGTAAACGAGTGTCATGGAGGTTGTTCTACAGACTCTTTCATCATCCAGGGATTAAGCCCAGTACCCAATAGTCATCTTTTCTGCTCCTCTCTCTCCTCCCACTCTCCACCCTCAAGTAGACCCCCATGTCTATTGTTTCCTTCTTTGTGTTTGTTCACAAGTTCTTATCATTTAGTCTCCACTTATAAGCTAGAACATGCAGTATTTGGTTTTCTGTTTCTTCGCTAGTTTGCTGAGGATAATAGCCACCAGCTCCATCCACATTTCCACAAAAGACATGATCTCATTCTTTTCAATGGCTGCCTAGTATTCCATGGTGTATCTGTACCACATTTTTCTTTTCTTTTTTTTTTTTGAGATGGAGTTTCACCCTTGGTGCCCAGGCTGGAGTGCAATGGCATGATCTTGGCTCACAGCAATCTCCACTTCCCGGGTTCAAGCGATTCTTCTGCCTCAGCCTCCCGAGTAGCTG
The DNA here is from genome assembly GCF_000001405.40 of Homo sapiens. Classification (NCBI taxonomy): domain Eukaryota; kingdom Metazoa; phylum Chordata; class Mammalia; order Primates; family Hominidae; genus Homo; species Homo sapiens. The sequence goes on from NC_000001.11 coordinate 242,023,598, forward strand.
GGATTACAGGTATGTTCCACCAGGCCTGGCTAATTTTGTATTTTTTAGTAGAGACAGGGTTTCTCCATGTTGGTCAGGCTGGTCTCGAACTCTTGACCTCAGGTGATCTGCCCGCCTCGGCCTCCTAAAGTGCTGGAATTACAGGCGTGAGCCACCGTACCCAGCCACCACATTTTCTTTATCCATCTGCCATTAATGGACATTTACGTTGATTCCATGTCTTTGCTGCTGTGAACAGTGCTGCAGTGAACATTTGCATGCACGTGTCTTTATGGTACAATGACTTATATTCTTCTGGGTATATACCCAGTAATGGGATTGCTGGGTCGATGGTAGTTCTGCTTTTAGCTCTCTGAGGAATAACGCTTCATGAATTTGCATGTCATCCTTGTGTGGGGCCATACTAATCTTCTCTGTATCGTTCCAATTTTAGTATATGTGCTGCCAAAGAGAGCACGTGATAGCATTTTCTTTTCCTTTTTTTGAGACAGGGTCTTGCTCTACTGCCCAGGCTGGAGTGCAGTGGTGCAATCAGAGCTCACTGCAACCTTAAACTTTTGGGCTCAAGCAATCTTCTGCCTCAGGTTCGTGAGTAGCAGGGACTATAGACACTCACCACCATGCTCAGCTAATTTTTAAAAAAATTTTTCTTTTTGTAGAGACAGGGTCTCGCTATGTTGACTAGCTGGTCTTGAACTCCTGGCCCCAAGCGATCCTCTCACCTTGGCCTCCTAAAGTGTTGGATTACAGGTGTAAGCCACTGCACCTGACTATAATAAAAAATAAAATAGTAAATAAATGTAGTTTATTTCCTTTAACTCCCTTCTCCCTCATTTCTCAGTTGAGTGGACTTCCCAAAGCTCCTTAAAGTCTTGGGGAGCCCTGCCTTTGCAGTTCTCTGGCAGGCTGCCTTGCTGCCTCCTCCAGTGTCACACGCAGAAGTCAGATAAGCCTGACTATCAACACTGCCTCCTCCACCTCTTATCTGCATAATCTTGAGCAGTAACTTCACCTTTGTCAGTGCCCATTTTCTTTTTCTTTATTTTTTTTTGAGATGGAGTCTGACTCTGTCACCCAGGATGGAGTGCAGTGGCACGATCTCAGCTGACTGCAACCTCTGCCTCCTGGGTTCAAGTGATTCTCCTGCCTCAGCCTCCCAAGTAGTTGGGACCACAGGCATGTGCCACCACACCCGGCTAACTTTTTGTATTTTTTAGTAGAGATGGGGTTTCACCGTGTTAGCCAGGATGGTCTTGATCTCCTGATCTTGTGATCCACCTGCCTCGGCCTCCCAAAGTGTTGGGATTACAGGCGTGAGCCACTGCACCCGGCTGGTCAGTCTCCATTTTTTCATCCACAGTGTGGGAAAAATAATAACTTGAGATTGTTATGAGGACCAAATGAGCTATTACCAATGTGTAAATTGCACAACATCAGACCAGGCAGGTAACAAAGATTCATGTGCATTAATCAGTGTAATGTCCTTTCCCTGGACAGTATATTTTATTTATTTATTTTTTTAGATGAAGTTTCGCTCTTGTTGCCCAGGCTGGAGGGCAATGGCTCGATCTCAGCTCACCACAACCTCCGCCTCCCGGGTTCAAGTGATTCTCCTGCCTCAGCCTCCCAAGTAGCTATGATTACAGGCATGTGCCACCACGCCCGGCTAATTTTGTATTTCTTTTAGCAGAGATGGGGTTTCTCCATGTTGGCCAGGCTGGTCTCAAACTCCCGACCTCAGGTGATCTGCCTGCCTTGGCCTCCCAAAGTGCTAGGATTACCGCGCCCAGCCTATTATTCATCTTTTTATTCTCAGGCTCTAGAACAATAACTTGTGAATAGGCTCTTGAAGGGCTGATTGGATTAAAGAAGTCTCCAAGATTAGCGTTGGGAGTATCCAGGAATTTGAGAGTTAACTGTGAAAATGAGAAGGAAGTTAACACCAGCTCCATGCATAAGGCTCTGGGACCCCAAATAAATGGGTAACAGCATGTCACAAGGCACTGTGAGGGGTTGGCTGCCCTTGGATGAGTGGGCATCACCTGTGTTGCCTCCAAAACACCCACATAATCTCTATTGATAGCTTAAGTTTCTCTGACTGTGTCCGTTTATTAAGGTTAGTGCTGTGGATGCTGTCAACTCCCGAAGCCTGGGCTTTCAGAGCCCATTAAGGGGAGATGCACGGGGCGCCTTTCATTTCAGACTACAGAAAGCACTTTTCCATTGTGGGGGCCAGGCAGGGTCACTACTGTGGTGGCTTTTGCCCCAGAGCACAGTCCCTTTCTCTCCGGCCCAGACATCCCCTAGGGAACACAGCATTTTCTACAGTGAACTAATAGATCAAAGCCCACACAATTCCTTCTTCCGCTGTGAAGCGCGGGAACTCGCCAGTGTTGCATCAGACCTTCTGCCTAAGTGGTTTGGGTTCCTGCGGAACACCGCTGATTACTTTAATGGAGAAGACTAGACTAACGTCACGTATCACTTAATGACTATGAAATAATTTTTCATTTCATTTTTGCAAAGACTTAAAAATAGATCCTGTGACTTTCTTCTTCACAAAAGCAATATACGTCTATCATAAAAAACCTTTTAGAAATAATGTCCAGGTGGGTGCGGTGGCTCATGCCTGTAATCCCAGCACTTTGTGGGGGCCGAGACGGGCAGATCATGAGGTCAGGAGTTGAAGACCAGCCTGACCAACATGGTGAAACCCATCTCTACTAAAAATACAAAAATTAGCCAGGTGTGGCGGCAGGCGCCTGTAGTCCCAGCTACTTGGGAAGTTGAGGCAGGACAATCGCTTGAACCCGGGCGGTGGAGGTTGCACTGAGCTGAGATTGCCCCACTGCACTCCAGCCTGGGTGACAGAGCGAGACTCTGTCTCAAAAAAAAAAAAAAGAAAAGAAATAATATCCAAACTACTATCTAGAAACAACCAGCATTAGAGTTTTTTGTGTGTAATCTTTTGCCTCTGCACAAAGATGTTTATTTTAATGTAACAAAACTAAGATCACAAGGCATATATTACATTTAATTTCCTTTTAGTTTCTGATAAACAGTATGCTATGAATATTTTTCTTTTTTTAAATTCTATTTATTTTTAATTTTTATTTTTTTGAGACAAAGTCTTGCTCTGTCACCCTGGCTGGAGTGCAGAGGCAGGAGCAGAGATCACGGCAGCCTTGGCCTCCTGGGCTCAGGCAATCCTCTTACCTCAGCCTCTCTAAGTAGTTGGGACTACTTGGCCCATGCCACCCTGCCTAGCTAATTTTTCTAGAGACAACGTTTCAAACTCCTGGGCTCAAGCAATCCTCCCCCCTCAGCCTCCCAAAGTGTTGGGATTACAGGCGTGAGCCACCACGCCTGACTGATTTTTCTATGTTGATAATATTTTTTAAAACAGTATCTATTATACAGGTGGCCTAGAGATTCCACAGTTTATTTAATCATCACTCTATGATCAGAGTGGCTTTTTTAGTCTCTTGATTAAAAACAACACTGTGATCAACATTTTGATAAATTTTTACTAGCAATCCAAATAATTTCCATCAGCTAAATTCGTGGAACTGAATCATTAGGTCAAAAGGAACTTGCATGTTAAACCCATTGATACAGCAGCTGCCCAGAAAGGTTGCCCCAACATAAACTTCTGCGATGTTTCTCCTGCAGCCTTACCAATACTGATTTTAGTTGTATGTTAAAAGTTTCTGAGTTGGAAGGGATCGTCTATCATAAACCCTTCATGTTGGTGTGTACATCTGGCCCCAGTGAGGGGAAGGGGACAGGAACTAACATTTATTGAACTTGATGACCTATGTAGGCGCTGTCATAAACATCATCTCATTTACCTTTATAGATACATGTTTTCATTGTTGTTGTTTTTGTCGAAACGGGCTCTCACCATGTTGCCCATGCTGGTCTTGAACTCCTAGGTTCAAGTGATCATCCCGCCTTGGCTTCCCAAAGTGCTGAGATTACAGACGTGAGCCACTTTGCCTAGCCCATCATCTCATTTAATCTTCACATCACCACCGGGAGGAAAGTTACGACTTCTGTCTTATAAACAAATAAACCAAAGCTCATAGAAAATAAGGGGCATGCCCAAGTCTGCATGTCTCAATAGTGTGAAAGCCAGTATTGAATTTTGTTCACCTGAAGGGCCACTCAATATCATGCTATTAACCACAATGGTTCTCTGTATTTTAGGCTATTGCAGCAACAGTACAACAGGTCCTTTCAGATCTATAAAAAAGACCCAGTGGCCTGTCTGAGGGTCTCAATAGGTAGGATTGGTAAAACATTTTTTACAAATAGGAAGATCTGCAAGATTGCCATAAATTGCATTTCTTGACTGGGCGTGGTGGTGCACACCTATAATCCTAGCTACTCAGGAGACTGAAGGAGGAGAATCACTTGAAACCGGAAGGCAGAAGTTGCAGTGAGCCAAAATGGAACCACTGCATTCTAGCCTGCGTGACAGACCAAGACTGTCTCAAATAATAAATAAATAAATAAATTGCATTTTTAGAGTAAGATTTTATTTTTAATTCTCCCAAGCTTGAGAGTATCATCTCACTGTCAGCTTCAGAAATGGGTCTTATGGCCATTTATTTATTTATATTTTTAAAATATAAAATAGAGATGGGGTCTTGCTACATTGACCAGGCCAGTCTCAAACTCCTGGCCGCAAGTGACCTTCCCATCTCAGCCTCCCAATATGGTAGGATTACAGGCATGAGCCACCATGCCCGGACTGGCTGTTTACTTACACTTGGCCAAGTTTTCTAAAATATACTAACACAAAAACATATTACAGAAAAATATAAAGCTTTTGGAGCAGTTAGCTTATGGATTACTGCCTATCAGGAGACCTCTGAGCTCACTGTCCAGTATTAACATGATCCCTCTATATTTTCTGGTTTTTTTGTTTTGGTTTGTTTGTTTGTTTGTTTGAGGCAAGTTTTGCTCTTGTCGCCCAGGAGTACAGTGGCGCGATCTTGGCTCACTGTAACCTCCTCCCCCCAGGTTCAAGTGATTCTCCTGCCTTAGCCTCCCGAGTAGCTGGGATTACAGGTGCCCACCACCATGTCCAGCTAATTTTTTGTATTTTTATTAGAGACAGGGTTTCACCATGTTGGCCAGGCTGGTCTCAAACTCCTGATCTCAGGTGATCCACCCACCTCGGCCTCCCAAAGTGCTGAGATTACAGGCTTGAGCCACTGGGCCCGGCTGAATAATTTCTTTTTTTAATTTAATAAATAGAGATGGGGTCTCACTTTGTTGCTCAGGCTAGTCTTGAATTCCTGGGCTTAAGTGATGCTCCTGCCTCAGCCTTCCAAAGTGCTCCCAAAGTGCTGGGATTACAGGCGTGAACCACTGTCCCCAGCCAACATGAATAATTTCTAAGATCTTTCGTAGAAGAAACAAAATAGAAAGGGGAGATAAACTACAAACTATGGAAAATTGCCACAAATACTAATAGCTTTACTATATAAAGATCCTGCACTTACTTATAAGAAAGATATTAAGACTCTCTAAAAATGCCGAGCATATGAAAAGATAATTTACAGATGGAATAAAATGGTTAGTAGGCAATAAAATATATGCAACTTCATTAACAATAAAACAAATGCAAGTTTTAAAATTAAGACTATTTTCGCCAAACTAACAAAGATTTTTAAGAATTTTAGACATCAAGAAATACTGAGTAAAGGCATTCAGGAGGTATGTGGGCATAAAACATTTTCCCCAAACCATCCTGTAATGTGGGTTGGATGGTGTAACCCCTAGAAGATATGTCCCTCCAGAACTTCAGAATGTGATCTTATTTACAATAAGCGTCTTTTATTTTTTTATTTTATTTCTTTTTTAAATTTTTTGTTTTTGAGACAGAGTCTCACTCTCTTGCTCATGGTGGAGTGCAGTGGCACAATCATGGCTCACTGCAGCCTCGACCTCCCCAGGCTCAGGTGATCCTCCCACCTCAGCCTCCGTCAGCCTCCCGAGTAGCTGAGACTACAGGCGTGTGCCACCATGCCCAGCTAATTTTTCTATTTTCTGTAGAGATGGGGTTTTTCCACGTTGTCCAGGCTGGTCTTGAAGTCGGGGCTCAACCCATCCACCCACCTTGGCCTCCCAAAGTGCTGGGATTATAGGCATGATTTACCACACCTGACCTTATTTTTAAAATGTTTTTTATTTTTTATATTTTCCTAGGTTCAGTAACTTGCCCAGGAATAAACATCGTCACAGATACGATTAAGTAAGGATCCTGAGCTGAGGTCATCCTGGATTAGAAGGGCCATAAATCCAGTGAAGGGTGTCCTTGTAAGAGAAAGGAGGCACAGAGAGGTAGGGGAAAGCCTGTCTGAAGACAGAAGCAGAGATGGAGGTTATGTGTCCACAAGCCAAGGAAGACCAAGCATTGGTGATGCCCCAAAACTAGGAGAGGGACATGGAACTGAATCACCCTTTGCGGCTCTGGCAGGAACTTACCCTGCCAATACCTTGATTTTGAACTTCTGGCTTCCATAATTGTGAGAGAATCCATTTTTGTTGATTAAGCCACTCAATTTGTGGTACTTGGTTACAGCAGCCACAGGACACCAATACACTTAAAGTCCATTTGCCTGACTGAGCAGGAAGGGATTGAATCAAGGGTGTCTCATGATCAGACCTGGTAGTGTTAGTCATAGGCTGACTATGAACCTGGTAATGGAGATCCAAGAAGGAATAAGACACATTTGATGGGTAAAGAATGAAGTGGAGTAGGAAGAGACAGGAGAGGCTGCAGAGGCCAGATCTGGAATGGACTTGGAAGACATGTTAGGGTCTAATATTTATTCCTGGGCAGCTTAAGGGACCACTGAAGGCTTTAAGCAAGGGAGTTGTTTAGAAAAGTTCATAATGGCTGTGGTATGGAGAATTAATTTTTTTTTTTTTTTTTTGATACAGAGTCTCGCTCTGTCGCCCAGGCTGGAGTGCAGTAGCGCAATCTCGGCTCACTGCAGCCTCCGCCTCCTGGGTTCGCACCATTCTCCTGCCTCAGCCTCCCGAGTAGCTGGGACTACAGGCGCCCGCCACCTCGCCCGGCTAATTTTTTGTATTTTTTAGTAGAGACGGGGTTTCACCCTGTTAGCCAGGATGGTGTCGATCTCCTGACCTCATGATCCGCCTGCCTCGGCCTCCCAAAGTGCTGGGATTACAGACGTGAGCCACCGCGCCCGGCCCTGGAGAATTAATTTGAAGGTAAGGCCAGGGGCATGGGGCCAGTTAAGAAAGTATTGGAATAATCTGGGTGATGGATGATGGTGGAATTACACTATGGTTGTAGACGTAGTTAAGAAGAGAAGTGAGGAGATTGAGGTAATTTGAGATAGGAGGATCAATAGAACTTAATGACTGATTGGAAGTTTGGGCCGGGCGCGGTGGCTCACGCCTGTACTCCCAGCACTTTGGGAGGCCGAGGCGGGCGGATCATGAGGTCAGGAGACGAGACCATCCTGGCTAACACGGTGAAACCCCGTCTCTACTAAAAATACAAAAAATTAGCCGGGCGTGGTGGCGGGCGCCTGTAGTCTCAGCTACTCAAGAGGCTGAGGCAGGAGAATGGCGTGAACCCGGGAGGCGGAGCTTGCAGTGAGCCAAGATCGCGCCACTGCAGTCCAGCCTGGGCGACAGAGCGAGACTCCGTCTCAAAAAAAAAAAAAAAGTTTGGGGGAGGAGGAGGAATGAGGGGTGGAGGCAGATATGCATATTTATTCTCTCTCTCTCTCTCTCTCTCTTTTTTTTTTCCTAGACAGAGTTTCGCTCTGTCACTCAGGCTGGAGTGCAATGGTGAGATCTTGGCTCACTGCAACCTCTGCCTCCAGGGCTCAAGCGATTCTCCTGCCTCAGCCTCCTAAACAGCTGGGATTACAGGCATGCGCCACCACGCCTGGCTGATTTTTGTATCTTTAGTAGAGATGGGGTTTCACCATGTTGGCCAGGCTGGTCTCGAGCTCCTGACCTCAGGCGATCCATCCGCCTCTGCCTTTCAAAGTGCCGGGATTACAGGCGTGAGCCACCGCACCCGGCTGCTACGCACATTTCCAAGTCAACAATTAAGCAGGGATGGGGAAGGGAGCCAAGGAGAAGGAGCAGGTTATGAGGGATGGGGAGGGAAATTCACTTTTGGAGGTTTGAGGTGAATATGGAACATCCAAGTGAAAATGTTCAAAAGGAAGTGGAATATGAAGGTCTGGAAATATTGTTGAACCCAGGGGAGTACAGTATATAATATTGCCTAGAGAGAGTGGGCAAAGTGGGAGGGGAGTGGTGAGGGGAGGAGAGCACCGAGGAGAACGCTGAGAAACATCAACCTCTTTAGGAGAAAGGAAGTTCAGCTTGCAGGGAGCCTGAGACGAATTAACCACAGCGCCAGGAAGAAATCCAGGCACCTGTGTAGCGGATCGGAAGCAAGATAAACCAAGAGAACAGAGTGTTTCAAAGGAGAGAGTAGTGGATTTTGTCGATGCCAACAATAATTTAAGTAAGATAAAGCCTTAAAAAGGGAGGTGTTTTGTGAAACCAGTGCCAGCAGTCTCAGTGGAGTGGCCAAGATTGGAAAGCCACATTATAGTGGCTTGAGAAGCTAGGGGATGGTGAGGAAGGGTGTCTTTACAAATTTGGCTGGAAAATGAAGAGATGCGCTAGGGTAATCAATAGACAGAAGATGGAGTTGAGAAGTGAAATGAATCTGTGTATGTTTAAATGCCAAAGGCGGAGTCAGTGGAGAGGAAGAGGATGAAGACAGAGGAGAGATGAGGCAAACATTTAAGGCACACGAGGACGATGGACAGAGTCCAGTACCCTGATGGGCATTGGCCTCGGCATGAGTGAGATGAAGAGGTGGGCTTAGAATTTTAGGAGAGCAGAAAAGGTTTGAAATGGTACTGTGGAGAACAGGTGCAGTCTAACCACCCAGGATCATTGAGGTTGCAGCACTGCTCCTAATCCAACCTTGTGAAGTATGTAGCGACTTTGTCCTAAACTCTTGTTTGGGGTTCACTTTTTTTCTGGCTCTGTGTCTTAGTCAGTCTGGGCTGCTATAACAAAGATCTTAAACTGGGTGGTTTACACAACAGACATTGAATTTCTCACAGTTCTAGAGGCTCGGGCCGGGCGCAGTGGCTCATGCCTATAATCCCAGCACTTTGGGAGGCTGAGGCAGGCAGATCAACCTGAGGTTGGGAGTTCAAGACCAGCCTGGCCAACATGGTGAAATCTTGTCTCTACTAAAATACAAAAATTAGCCAGACATGGTGTTGGGTGCCTGTAATCCCAGTTATTCGTGAGGCCGAGGCAAGAGAATTGCTTGAACCCAGGAGACAGAGGTTGCAGTGAGCCAAGATCACACCACTGTACTCCAGCCTGGGTGACAGAGCAAAACTCCATCTCGAACAAAGAAAAAAGAAATGTGCACATCTTCCTTAACTCCTCATTCCTCCTCCTCCTCCCCCAAACTTTCAATTAAAAAAAAAAATTAGAGGCTGGAAGACCAAGGTCAGGGTGCCAGACTGGTTGGGTTCCAGAGAGAGTCCTCATTCTGGTTATGTCCCCACGTGGCCTTCCTTGGTGCATGCACACAGAGAAGGCATGCGCTCTAATCTCTCCAAACCAAGGGGGCTCTACTCTCATAACCTCATCTAACCCTAATCATCTTCCAAAGCCCCCACTTCCTAATACCATCCCATCGGGGTTAGGGTTTCAACATAGGAATTTGGGGGTACATGAGCATGCAGTCCATAAAACACTTTGATTACATTTTCTTCATTTTGTTCAGTGCATTTCAAAGTCTCTCTGTGATGACAGAGGGTTTTGACTTGAGCTGGAGAGAGGAGCATGTGATAACTCAGGGGTCAGCTGGGGTCACCTTATCTTGCCCAATTGATGCAACCTCTTTCAAAGTGCTCTCCAAGACTCCCTTCGATTCCCCAAGGGCTTATGCTCTCAAGGTCACCTCTGGCTTTAGGCTCTAGCTTCACAGAATTGGATTGTCTCAGCACATTCTTTTATGAGTGTAGGTGATTTACTGAAAACTGAAGGCTGCAGAGATTTATATTACAGCAACAAAAACAACTGAAAACGCACTGTTAGCTATTTCTCTTTGGAAATCCTTCAGCCATTTCTGAAACCATGGCCCTTGCCAATTTCTGTGCGCCTCAGCCCTCGTCTCTCAGATCTCCTTCTCACTCACAAATTCCTGCTTATTTCCCACGTGTAGAAGTTTATCGCACTCTTTTGTTGCCTCCACTTCTGCTGAACCATGTCATCAGGGTTCCACCCACCTCTGTGCTACTTATTAAGGTATTTTCCTGGCTGGGAACCATGGCTCACACCTGTGATCCCAATTATTTGGGAGGCTGAGGCCAGAGGATCCCTTGAGGCCAGGAGTTCAAGACCAGCCTGGGCAACATAGTGAGACCCCCCCCCCCATCTCTACAAAAACAAACAAATAAATAATTTTTTTAAAAAGGGAAAAAAAGGTATTTTTCTAAACAAAAGTGGTTCACTGCCCTGCAAGGGAAATTTCGGCTCCAACTACTGATATAATACATTTGTCTTCAGCCGGGTGCAGTGGCTCATGCCTGTAATCCCAGCACTTTGGGAGGCCAATGCAGGCAGATTACCCGTGGTCAGGAGTTCAAGACCAGCCTGACGAAAGTGGTGAAAACGTGTCTCTACTAAAAATACAAAAAAATGAGCTGTGCATGGTGGCATGCACCTGTAATCCCAACTACTCACGAGGCTGAGGCAGGAGAATCACTTGAACCTGGGAGGTGGAGGTTGCTGTGAGCCGAGATTGCACCATTGCACTCCAGCCTGGGTGACAAGAGTGAAATTCCGTCTCAAAATAATAATAATAAAAATAATAATACATTTGTCATGTACGTGCACAATTTTGAGAAAGGCTAAATACTCTGGACTCTCTCCGCTGCTGACTCAGCATCAATGCATTCCTTAGCCCCATTCACCTGAAGTCATGATCAAGAGCAAAATTCACATCCACCATCTGTATAAAGAATGCGACTTTTCTACCCTCCTGGCCCTGTGCCTTTTTAAAGTTTATGATAAATAACATTTGTTTAGAATTTTCAAATGCATCATCTCATTTGATTTTCACAAGATCTCAATGCCAGGTAACCCATGCTTTGTTTCCTCCGTACAATGAAGTAACTGGGGCTCAAAGAGAATTGACTTACCATTTGGCACCCAGCTGAAAACCAGCCAGGGGAGCTTCCAAGGAGAATGGTGATCCACGGTCAATCCTCTTGCCACTGTGACAGAATGCCTGTTTTGTGTCAGAGTTTTGTTTCACAAACCCAAGTATTTTCAGTACTGTTGCTTCATTTTGATGATTTCATGGGATCCTTCCCTATATAACCACACTGTGATGCTTGACTCCTTACCTGCAGTGGGGTAATGCTTCTTCTCATAAATTATTTGGGTTGACATTTTGGGTTTTCTAGATTTCCCGTCTAAAATTCACAAACACTGTGAAATAGCCACTGCTCTTCAGCTTAGGGAACATAGCGAGACCTTGTCTTTATTTTTATTTATTTATTTATTTTTTTTGACAGAGTCTCGCTCTGTTGCCCAGGCTGGAGTGCAGTGACACCGTCTCAGCTCACTGCAACCTCAGCCTCCCAGGTTCAAGCAATTTTCATGCCTCTCCTGAGTAGCTGGCAGTACAGGCGCCTGCCACCGCATCTGGTTAAATTTTGTACTTTTAGTAGAGATGGGGTTTCACTATGTTGGCCAGGCTTGTCTCAAACTCCTGGCCTTAAGTGATCCACCAGCCTCAGCCTCTCAAAATGCTGGGATTCCAGGTGTGAACCACTGTGCCTGTCTGATACCCTCTTTAAAAACAAAACAAAAACAAAATAACACGCCAAAACCAAACCATCATAAACAAACAAATACACAAATAAAGAAAATTCATAAATGCTCATCAATCCTGCAGGTTCTACTTTCAGGTATTTTTTGGGGGTGGGGTGAAGTCGGGGCAGCCTGGTAGGAAGTTCTTTCACTCACTTCCCATTTCTTAAATAATGGATTTTCAGGAACAGCACTGATCAATACCAGCAGAGTTCAGAATCTGTATTTCACCAAGCACAGGTTTCCTTTGCTGACCCACTCCCTGGATGTAGCATACAGATCCTAGTCTTCCCTACAGAGGGAAGACTCCAAGTACAGAAGCAAGTGCATTTCAACATTTGTCTGCCAGCCCTAATGTATTGACCTTTGTGTCATCCATCTTTGTTAGTGATCAGGCAAGACATCATACATTGTTTCTGCTCTAATATTTTTTCTTTAAATAATATAATGAATATTGATGCAGCCAAGAGTTCAGTGAGTAGGGGATGGATAGTTATTAGCAGTGAAAAACAATCAATGTAGTATAACCTCAAGATTCAATGTGAATTCCACCTTGGGAACCTGTTTTGTGGTTTGGAAAGAAATGAATTCAGTATCAGCTGTTTGCAACTTGACAAGATAAAGAGATCTGATAGTTCTGTTCAAAGGATGAAATTTCTGACAATGGAGGGTGGAAATAGTTCAATCTCACTGAAGCCTGGATGGAGATGCAGCAGCATTTGGGACAGACGTTTCCTCCTGCAGTGCCAGATCCTTCTAGTAGAGGATCCTCCTGCAGTGCCAGATCCTTCTAGTAGTGAGAGGAGTCATGGTAGGAAGCCGTGTTTTAGAGGACAAAGCTTGGGCTTGGAAGTTAAAGCTGGATTTGAATCCAGCATTGCAAATTGTAACCATGGGCACTGCGTTGAACCACTCTGAACCTCACTTGCTTTATCTCTAAAATGGGGATAATAATGTTTGCCTGGCTGGTAAAGATTAGCAGTAATACATATGCAGTGTCTGACATATGCATGTGCTTAGTTGAGAGGAGCAATTTGTTGTTGTTGTTGTTTATTAAGTTGGGATCTCGCTATGTTGCTCAGGCTGGTCTCAAACTCCTGACCTCAAGTGATCCACCCACCATGGCCTTTATAGGCATGAGCCACCATGTCCAGCCAAGCAATTATTCTATACTTTATACCATGGGATTGTTTTGTAGTGAGATAAATTATATATATTTTTTTATTATTTCACACCTGAATATTTTTGAATATGATTTACTCAAGAGTAAATAGTGTTATAAAATTCCCACATTCTGCCTGTAATCCCAGCACTTTGGGAGGCTGAGGCAGGTGGATCACTAGGTTAGGAGTTTGAGACCATCCTGGCTAAGATGGTGAAACCCCGTCTCTACTAAAAATACAAAGAGTTAGCCAGGTATGGTGGCATGCGCCTGTAGTCCCAGCTACTTGGGAGGCTGAGGCAGGAGAACCACTTGAACCAGGGAGGCGGAGGTTGCAGTGAGCCAGGATCGCACCACTGCACTCCAGCCTGGGTGACAGAGCGAGACTCTGTCTCAAAAAAAAAAAAAAAATTCCCACATTCTTCCTCTTAATTAACTTGGTCTTAATATGGAAAACAGTAAGGCTAATGCTAATAGTAATATCTGCCTGTAAATACACACTGTAGATTGCTATGAGAACAACTGAGATAAACTATGTGAAAATACTTTGCAAGACATATAATGTGTTGCAGTGGTATTTTTAGGCTTCTTTTCCCTAGTCTTGAATATTAATATGCTTAGGAGACTCAACCTTCTGTAGCACCTATAGCAAAGCAGATATGCCCTTTCCTACATGCATGCTGTGTAGCAAACCCCAAACGAGTAGAGGTGATGGACAGGAAAAGGCATTCCTTGTGGGAATTTGTCATATCTGACAACCAGACTTTCTTTTCTCATTTGTCTTCTAGTCACTGTAAGTATACAGCTGTTGAACAGCATTAAGCAGTGGAGATAAAAATCTTCCATGAGAATAGCTAATAATAATTTGGGTTGCTGCTGATGGAGAATGTCATGCGAAAAGTCACAGGAGCAGAGTGGGCACTTTCTTCTCTTTAACCAGCATCTTACAGGTGTGGGGCTTTTGTTTTTTTAAGGAGTATGGAAGTGGTAGGGACCGGTCTCATATGTACTTCTTATAATAAGCCAAATAATACAAAGGTGCGTAAGGAAAATAAATGTTCTTCCCTTCTCTGTCTTTTGTATTCCCAGCTTTCAGAGGTACACAACGTTGACAGTTTGATGTGGGCTCTTTCAGGTATGAATGTGTTTTTCAGCCATGAATGATAGTGAAACCTGTTAGTGGAACGACTTTGAAAGTCCAATCAATATCTGTATCCTTGAGAGATAGAACCTCCTGCTATCAGGCTTTCCAGAGAATCATAAGCAGGTTATCTGGGAGATAAATAAATTCTTGGAAACTGTTTATTAAAATGCATTTTTATGCTAATGGCAGAGTCCCACTGATACATGCAAATGAAAAATAATTTAGAATCTTATCATGGAATGGCAGGAAAAATGAGTTGATGATTCCCTACCGTTTCTTCTGATTTAATCCAAATCTCCTTTTCTAGTGTCTTTTCCATCCACGCACAAAATCCTAGGTTTGGGAATTTCAAAGAGCATTCTTTCATGGTGCTATTTCTCCAACTGTAACATTTGTTACACCTGGGGATGTTTAAACAGAGATTTCTTTTTCTTTTCTTTTCTTTTTTTTTTTTTGAGAGACATCGTCTCACTCTGTCGCCCAGGCTGGAGTGCAGTGGTGAGATCTCGGCTCATTGCAACCTCTGCCTCCCGGGTTCAAGCGATTATCCTGCCTCAGCCTCCTGAGTAGCTGGGACTACAGGTTCCCGCCAAGATGCCCAGCTAATTTTTGTATTTTTAGTAGAGACGGGATTTTGACATGTTGGCCAGGCTGGTCTTGAACTCCTGACCTCAGGTGGTCTGCTTACCTGGGCCTCCTAAAGTTGAGCACTTACCGTGTAAGTGCTGGGATTACAGGCGTCAGCCACCACGACCAGCCTAAACATGGATTTCTGATTTAGTAGCCTGGGGTGAAGCCTGAGTTTCTTTATTTCTAACAAGTCCCCAGGTCTACACTCCACACATTGAGTAACAAGGATCTCCTTATGATGTTGTCTCTGTCAGTTCCCTGCCACATTTGTGTCCAGCCCATATCTGAAGATCTCTTAGCACAGTGCCTTTTACTTTGTAAAATATACTTTATTTTTTAGACAAATTTAGAATCACGGCGATATTGAGCAGAAGATACAGAGATTCCCCATGTATCTCCCGCCCACACGTGCATTATCTCCCCCACTATCAAAGTGCCCCACCAGAGTAGTACATTTGTTATAACCCATGAACCTACGTGGACACATCATCGTCATCTGAAGTCCGTAGTTTACATTACGGTTCATTCTTGGTGGTATACGTTCCATGGGTTTTAACAAATGTAGAATGACATGTACCCACCATGATGGTATTATACAGAGTAGCTTCAATGCCCTAAAAATCCTCTGTGCTTGGCCTGTTCATCCTTCTCTGCCCCCAATCCATGGCAACTACTGATTTTTTTTTACTGTTTCTATAGTTTTGCTCTTCGCAGAACGTCTTGTAGTTGGATCATACAGTATACAGCGTTTTCAGACTGTTTATTTCACTTTGTAATGTAAGTTTAAGATTTCTCCATGGAGGCCGGGTGCGGTGGCTCACATTTGTAATCTCAGCACTTTGGCAGGTTGAGGGGGGCGGATCTCTTGAAGTCAGGAGTTCAAGACCAGCCTGACCAACATGGTGAAACCCCGTCTCTATTAAAATACAAAAAAAAAAAAAAAATTAGCTGGGTGTGGTGGTGGATGCCTGTAATCCCAGCTACTCTGGAGGCTGAGGTGCGGGAATCACTTCAATCCAGGAGGCAGAGGTTGCAGTGAGCTGAGATGGCACCACGGCACTCCAGCCTGGGTGACACAGAGAGACCCCACCTCAAAAAAAAAAAAAAAAAAAAGAGATTTCTCCACGGGCGAAAAGAGTGAAACTGTGTCTCAAAAAAAAAGGGGGATTTCTCCATGTCTTTCACGGATGTATAACTCATTTATTTTTAGTAGTGAGTGTACCACTGTTTATTTTTTCATTCACCTACTGAAAAACATCTTGATTGTTTCCAAGTTTTGGCAATTATGAACAAAGCTGCTCTAAACATCCGTGTGCTGGTTGTTGTGTGGACATAAGTTTTCAAACCCTTTGCGTAAACGCCAAAGAGTGCAATTGATGGATCCTATGGTAAGAATATATTTAGTTTTCTAAGAAACAGCCAAACTGTCTTCCAAAGTAGCTGAACCATTTTGCATTCCCACTAACAATGAATGAGAGAGCTCCTGCTGTCCCGCATTCTGCGCAGGATTTGGTGTTGCCACTGTTCCAGATTTTGGTCAGTTTAACAGATGTGTGTAGCGGTAGTTCATTGCTGTTTTCAATTGCATTTCCCTGATGACATATGATATGGAGTATCTTTTCAGATGCTTTTTGCTACCTGTATATCTTCTTTGGTGAGGTGTTTATTAAGGTCTTCTGCACGTTTCTTTTTTCTGAAAAGTAACAACACGATTTTCAGTTGGGTTGTCTGACTTCTTTTTTGAGACAGAGACAGTCTCACTCTGTTGCTCAGGCTGGAGTGCAGTGGTGTGATCTAGGCTCACTGCAACCTCCACCTCCCGGGTTCAAGTAATTCTCATGCCTCAGCCTCCTAAGTAGCTGGGATTTCAGGCGCCTGCCACCACCTCTGGCTAATTTTTATATTTTTAGTAGAGACGGGGTTTCACCAATTTGAGTGGACTTCAAGTGATCCGCCTGCCTCAGCCTCCCAACGTGGTGGGATTACAGACATAAGCCATCATGCCCCGCCTGTCTGATTTCTTATTGTTGAGTTTTAAGGGTTTTTTGTATACTTTGAATGACATTCTTTTACCAGATGTGTCTTTTGCAAATATTTTCTCTAGTCTATGACTTGTCTTTTCATTCTCTTGACAGTGTCTGTCACAAAGCAAAAATTTTGATTTAATAATAAAGTATAGCTTATCAGTTCTTTCATGAATTGTGATTTTGGTATTGTGTCTAAAAAGTCGTTACCAAGGGCCAGGGATGGTGGCTCATGCCTGTAATCCCAGGACTTTGGAAGGCCGAGGCAGACAGAGCACAAGGTCAGGAGTTCGAGACCAGCCTGACCAACATGGTGAAACCTCGTCTCTACTAAAAATAGAAAAATTAGCAGGGCATGATGGCACGTGCCTGTAATCCCAGCTACTTGGGAAGCTGAGGCAGGAGAATCACTTGAACCCGGGAGGCGGAGGTTGCAGTGAGCGGAGATCACATCACTGCACTCCAGCCTGGGCGACAGAGCAAGACTCCATCTCAAAAAAAAAAAAAAAAAAAAAAAGTCGTTACCAAACACCAAGGCCATCTAGATTTTCTCCTATATTATCTTCTAGGATTTTTGTGGTTTTACATTTTACAATTAGGCCTATTATTCATTTTGAGTTAAGTTTTATAAAGAATGTAGGTCTGTGTCTAGATTCTTTTGTTTTCTTTTTTTTTTCTTTTGCATGTGGGTGTTCATTGTTCCAGCTTCATTTGTTGAAAAGACAATCTGTTCTCCACTGTACTGCCTTTGCTCCTTTGTTAAAGATTAGTTAACTTTATTTATGTGGATCTATTTCTGAGCTCTCTATTCTGTTTCATTGATGTTTTTGTCTGTTTCTTCACAAATACCACACTGTCTTGATTACTGTGCCCTTTTTTTAATTTAGGAAAAAGGGGCTTTATTTATTATTATTATTATTATTATTATTATTATTTTTGAGACAAAGTCTTGCTCTGTCTCCCAAGCTGGAGTGCCGTGGTGCCATATTGGCTCACTGCAACCTCCACCTCCTGGGTTCAAGCAATTCTCATGTCTCAACCTCCCAAGTAGCTGGGATTACAGGCATCTGCCACCACGCCCAGCTAATTTTTTGTATTTTTAGTAGAGACAGGTTTCACATGTTAGCCAGGTTGGCCTCAAACTCCTGACCTCGTGATCCTCCCATCTCAGCCTCCCAAAGTGCTGTGATTACAGGTGTGAGCCTCCGTGCCCAGCCAGAATATTAAATTTCTATGAACGTTTCTGAATGATTGCTCTCAATTTCTTTACAAATCTCATTGCAGGCAGGTAACAAACAATTAGCTGACTAGAATTTACCCTTATGACCTCATTTAATCTTTCTTATCTCCTTAAATGCCCTATCTCTAATATAATCACATGAAAGTGTTTGGGCTTCAATGTATAAATCTGGAGGGTAGAGGCACAATTAGCAGACTCTAACTCCTTACGGTTTGGGTCAGAAGTCTTGGGTGGACTTGAAATTCAGGGACTGTGCCCTTAACCTTACAGTTTGGCTGACTCTGGGTAGAGGATATGATGTACAATAAAAAAGTTGAGAAGAAAATAGAAATATATCTTGAAACAAATGATAATGGAAACAAAGCATAGCAAAACCTATAGAATATAGTAAAAGAGGTACTATTATAAAATGAAAATGTATAATTGTAATTGCCTACATAAAAAAACAGAAAAACTTCAAATAACCTAACAGTACATCTTAATTAACTAGAATAAAAAGGCCAAAACAAACCCAAAATTAGAAGAAAAGAAATAATAAAGATTAGCGCAGAAATAAAGTTGAAATAAAAAAATACAAAAGATCAATGAAACAAAAAGTGGATGTTTTGAAAAGTAAAACAACTAACAAATATTTAGACAGGCTAACTAAAAAACAGAGAAGATACAAATACATAAAATCAGAGGTGAAAAAGGAGACATTACAAGTAATGCTTCAGAAAATCAAAGGATTATTAGTGGTTACTATCAGCAATTGTATGCCGACAAATTAGAAAACCTAGAGGAAAAGAATTCTTAGATACACACAACTTACCAAGATTGAACTAGGAAAAAATCTAAAACCTGAACAGACCAATAACAAGTAACAAAATTAAAGCCTTAATAAAAAAAGTCTGTAGGACCAGACTGAAAAATAGAGGAGGGAACATTTCCAAACTCATTCTTTGAGGCCAGTATTACCCTGATATCAAAACCAGACAAAGACACATTAAAAAGGCAAACTACAGGCCCATATCTGAGACTATTGATGCAAAAATTTGCAAAAAAACCTAGGAAACTGAATTAAACAATACATAAATAGGTAATTCATAATGACCAAGTGGGATTTATCCCAGGGAAGCAAGGATGGTTCAACATGCAAATCAATCAATGTGATACATTATATAAACAGAATGAATGACAAAATCCATATGATCATTTCAATTATACTAAAAATAATTTGATAAAATTTAATATTCTTTTATAATAAAAACCCTTTGAAAACTGGGTATGGAATAAACATACCTCAACATAATAAAAGTCATATATGACAGACCCACAGCTAGTATCATACTGAGTGGGGAAAAACTAAAAGACTTTCCTCGAAAATCTGGAAAATGACAAGAATATCCACTTTTACCACTGTTATCTAACATAATTCTGAAAGTCCTAGCTGGAGCAATCAGACAAGAGAAAGTAATAAAGGGCATCCCAATTGGAAAATGAGTCAAATTATCTTTTTTTCTTGCTGATGATATAATCCTATATTTGGAAAAACATAAAGACTCCTCTGATGGGGTCTGAATGTGTGTCCCCTTCCAAATCTCATATTGAAATGTAATTCTCAATGTTGGAGTTGGGCCTGGTGAAAGGTGATGTAACCATCAGGGTAGATTACTCATAAATGGCTGTAATCATTTATGAGTGAGTTCCTGTAAGATCCGGCCATTTAAAAGTGTGTAACAACTCGACCCTCTGTTTTGTGTTCCTGCTTTTTGCCCTGTGATGTGCAGGATTCTGCTTCAACGTTTGCCATGATTATAAACTTCCAGAGGCCTCCCCAGAAGCATATGCCAGTGCTGTGTCTTCTGTACAGCCTGTAGAATCATGAGCCAGTTAAACCTCCTTTTTAAAAATAAATTACCGGCGGGGTGTGGTGGCTCACACCTGTAATCCCAGCACTTTGGGAGGCTGAGGTGGGCGGATCACGAGGTCAGGAGATCGAGACCATCCTGGCTAACACAGTGAAACCCCGTCTCTATTAAAAATACAAAAAATTAGCTGGGTGTGGTGGCGGGCGCCTGTAGTCCCAGCTACTTGGGAGGCTGAGGCAGGAGAATGGCGTGAACCCCGGAGTCGGAGCTTGCAGTGAGCCGAGATCGCGCCACTGTACTCCAGCCTGGGCAACAGAGCGAGACTCTGTCTCAAAAATAAATAAATAAATAAATAAATAAAAATAAATTGCCCAGCCTCAGGTATTTATAGTGATGCAAAAATGGCTTAATACAGAAAATTGTCACCAAGGAGTAGAAAATTGTTATAAGAATACATGAAAATGTGGAATCAGCTTTGTAATTGGGTAAACAGGCAGAGATTGAAAGAGTTTTAGGGCTCAGAAGAAGATAGAAAAATGAGGTAAAGTTGAGATTTTCTTAGAGACTGGTTGAATAGCTGTGACCAAAATGCTGATAGTGATCTGGATAGTGAAGGCTGGGCTGAGGAGGTCTCAGATGAAAATTAGAAACTTATTGGGACTGAAGCAAAGGTCATGCCTGTTATGTCTTAGCAAAGTGGTTGGATGAATTGCTTTCATGCCCTAGGGATACATAAAAGTTTGAATTTGAGAGTGATATAGGGTTTCTGTTGGAAGAAATGTCTAAGCAGCAAAGCATTCGAGATGTGGCCTGACTGCTTCTAACAACTATGCTCACATCTTAGAGCAAAAAAATAAGCTGTAACTTATATTTACAAGGGAACCATAGTGTAAAAGCTTGAACACTTTTCAGCCTAGCCATGTGGCAGAAAAATAAAAAGCTTTTATAAGAGAGGAACTTAAGCAGGCTGTGGAACAACCACTTGTTAGAGATATTTGTGTAATTAAACAAAAGCAAGTGTTGATAGCCAAGACAATGGGAAAGAGGACTTGAAGGCATTTTAGAAATCTAGAGGCAGCCCCCCATCACAGGCCCTGAGGCCTAAAAGAAGAGAATAGTTTCTGGGATCAGGCCCAGGACCCTGCTGCCTTGGGTAGCCTTGGGACATGGCTCCCTGCATCCTGGCCACTGCTCCAGCTCCAGGTATAGGTCAAATTGGCCAAGTTACAGCTCCAGTCACTGCTTCAGAGGGTACAAGCCATAAGCCTTGATAGCTTCCATGTGGTGTTAGGCCTTTGGGTGTACAAAATGCAAGAGTTGAGACTTGGGAGCCTCCACCTTTATTCAAAGGATGTAGGCAAAAGCCTGGGTGTCCAGGCAGAAGCATGCTGCAGTGGTGGAGCTCTCATGGAGAACCTCTACTAAAACAATGCAGAGAAGAAATGTGGGGTTAGAGTCCCCACACAGGCTTCCCACTGGGGCATGGCCTAGTAGATCTGTGAGGAGAGAATCACGGTCCTCCAGACCCCAGAATGGTAGATCTAGCTACAGCTTGCACCCTGCACCTAGAAAAACCAGAGGCACACAATACCAGCCCATGAGAACAGCTGTGGGGGCTGAACCATGCAGATCCACAAGGTTGGACCTTTCCAAGGCATTAGTGTATCCTGGAAATGGGACATAGAGAAAAAAATAATTATTTTGGAGCCTTACGATTCAATAACTGCCCTTCTGGGTTTCAGACTTGCATGGGTCCTGTGGCCTCTTTCTTTTGGCTGATTGCTTCCTTTTAGAATAGGGGTATTTATCCAATGCCTATACTCCCTTTGTATCTTGGAAGTACCTAACTTGTTTTTCGTTTTACAGGCTTATAGGAGGAAGAAACTAGCTTTGTCTTAGATGAGACTTTCAACTTTTGAGTTAAGGCTGAAATGAGTTAAGACTTTGGGGATTATTAGGAAGTCATGATTGTATTTTTTGTTTGTTTGTTTGTTTTGTTTTTTTTATTATACTTTAAGTTTTAGGGTACATGTGCACATTGTGCAGGTTAGTTACATATGTATACATGTGCCATGCTGGTGCGCTGCACCCACTAACTCGTCATCTAGCATTAGGTATATCTCCCAATGCTATCCCTCCCCCTCCCCCCACCCCACAACAGTCCCCAGAGTGTGATATTCCCCTTCCTGTGTCCATGTGATCTCATTGTTCAATTCCCACCTATGAGTGAGAATATGTGGTGTTTGGTTTTTTGTTCTTGCGATAGTTTACTGAGAATGATGATTTCCAATTTCATCCATGTCCCTATAAAGGAGATGAACTCATCATTTTTTATGGCTGCATAGTATTCCATGGTGTATATGTGCCACATTTTCTTAATCCAGTCTATCATTGTTGGACATTTGGGTTGGTTCCAAGTCTTTGCTATTGTGAATAATGCTGCAATAAACATACGTGTGCATGTGTCTTTATAGCAGCATGATTTATAGTCATTTGGGTATATACCCAGTAATGGGATGGCTGGGTCAAATGGTATTTCTAGTTCTAGATCCCTGAGGAATCGCCACACTGACTTCCACAATGGTTGAACTAGTTTACAGTCCCACCAACAGTGTAAAAGTGTTCCTATTTCTCCACATCCTCTCCAGCACCTGTTGTTTCCTGACTTTTTAATGATTGCCATTCTAACTGGTGTGAGATGGTATCTCATAGTGGTTTTGATTTGCATTTCTCTGATGGCCAGTGCTGATGAGCATTTTTTCATGTGTTTTTTGGCTGCATAAATATCTTCTTTTGAGAAGTGTCTGTTCATGTCCTTTGCCCACTTTTTGATGGGGTTGTTTGTTTTTTTCTTGTAAATTTGTTTGAGTTCATTGTAGATTCTGGATATTAGCCCTTTGTCAGATGAGTAGGTTGCGAAAATTTTCTCCCATTTTGTAGGTTGCCTGTTCACTCTGATGGTAGTTTCTTTTGCTGTGCAGAAGCTCTTGAGTTTAATTAGATCCCATTTGTCAATTTTGGCTTTTGTTGCCATTGCTTTTGGTGTTTTGGACATGAAGTCCTTGCCCATGCCTATGTCCTGAATGGTAATGCCTAGGTTTTCTTCTAGGGTTTTTATGGTTTTAGGTCTAACGTTTAAATCTTTAATCCATCTTGAATTGATTTTTGTATAAGGTGTAAGGAAGGGATCCAGTTTCAGCTTTCTACATATGGCTAGCCAGTTTTCCCAGCACCATTTATTAAATAGGGAATCCTTTCCCCATTGCTTGTTTTTCTCAGGTTTGTCAAATATCAGATAGTTGTAGGTATGCGACGTTATTTCTGAGGGCTCTGTTCTGTTCCATTGATCTATATCTCTGTTTTGGTACCAGTACCATGCTGTTTTGGTTACTGTAGCCTTGTAGTATAGTTTGAAGTCAGGTAGTGTGATGCCTCCAGCTTTGTTCTTTTGGCTTAGGATTGACTTCGCGATGCGGGCTCTTTTTTGGTTCCATATGAACTTTAAAGTAGTTTTTTCCAATTCTGTGAAGAAAGTCATTGGTAGCTTGACGGGGATGGCATTGAATCTGTAAATTACCTTGGGCAGTATGGCCATTTTCATGATATTGATTCTTCCTACCCATGAGCATGGAATGTTCTTCCATTTGTTTGTATCCTCTTTTATTTCCTTGAGCAGTGGTTTGTAGTTCTCCTTGAAGAGGTCCTTCACATCCCTTGTAAGTTGGATTCCTAGGTATTTTATTCTCTTTGAAGCAATTGTGAATGGGAGTTCACTCATGATTTGGCTCTCTGTCTGTTGTTGGTGTATAAGAATGCTTGTGATTTTTGTACATTGATTTTGTATCCTGAGACTTTGCTGAAGTTGCTTATCAGCTTAAGGAGATTTTGGGCTGAGACAATGGGGTTTTCTAGATATACAATCATGTCGTCTGCAAACAGGGACAATTTGACTTCCTCTTTTCCTAACTGAATACCCTTTATTTCATTTTCCTGCCTAATTGCCCTGGCCAGAACTTCCAACACTATGTTGAATAGGAGCGGTGAGAGAGGGCATCCCTGTCTTGTGCCAGTTTTCAAAGGGAATGCTTCCAGTTTTTGCCCATTCAGTATGATATTGGCTGTGGGTTTGTCATAGATAGCTCTTATTATTTTGAAATACGTCCCATCAATACCTAATTTATTGAGAGTTTTTAGCATGAAGGGTTGTTGAATTTTGTCAAAGGCTTTTTCTGCATCTATTGAGATAATCACGTGGTTTTTGTCTTTGGCTCTGTTTATGTGCTGGATTACATTTATTGATTTGCGTATATTGAACCAGCCTTGCATCCCAGGGATGAAGCCCACTTGATCATGGTGGACAAGCTTTTTGATGTGTTGCTGGATTTGGTTTGCCAGTATTTTATTGAGGATTTTTGCATCAATGTTCATCAAGGATATTGGTCTAAAATTCTCTTTTTTGGTTGTGTCTCTGCCCAGCTTTGGTATCAGAATGATGCTGGCCTCATAAAATGAGTTAGGGAGGATTCCCTCTTTTTCTATTGATTGGAATAGTTTCAGAAGGAATGGTACCAGTTCCTCCTTGTACCTCTGGTAGAATTCGGCTGTGAATCCATCTGGTCCTGGACTCTTTTTGGTTGGTAAACTATTGATTATTGCCACAGTTTCAGCTCCTGTTATTGGTCTATTCAGAGATTCAACTTCTTCCTGGTTTAGTCTTGGGAGAGTGTATGTGTCGAGGAATGTATCCATTTCTTCTAGATTTTCTAGTTTATTTGCGTAGAGGTGTTTGTAGTATTCTCTGATGGTAGTTTGTATTTCTGTGGGATCGGTGGTGATATCCCCTTTATCATTTTTTATTGTGTCTATTTGATTCTTCTCTCTTTTTTTCTTTATTAGTCTTGCTAGCGGTCTATCAATTTTGTTGATCCTTTCAAAAAACCAGCTCCTGGATTCATTAATTTTTTGAAGGGTTTTTTGTGTCTCTATTTCCTTCAGTTCTGCTCTGATTTTAGTTATTTCTTGCCTTCTGCTAGCTTTTGAATGTGTTTGCTCTTGCTTTTCTAGTTCTTTTAATTGTGATGTTAGGGTGTCAATTTTGGATCTTTCCTGCTTTCTCTTGTGGGCATTTAGTGCTATAAATTTCCCTCTACACACTGCTTTGAATGTGTCCCAGAGATTCTGGTATGTTGTGTCTTTGTTCTCGTTGGTTTCAAAGAACATCTTTATTTCTGCCTTCATTTCGTTATGTACCCAGTAGTCATTCAGGAGCAGGTTGTTCAGTTTCCATGTAGTTGAGCGGCTTTGAGTGAGATTCTTAATCCTGAGTTCTAGTTTGATTGCACTGTGGTCTGAGAGATAGTTTGTTATAATTTCTGTTCTTTTACATTTGCTGAGGAGAGCTTTACTTCCAAGTATGTGGTCAATTTTGGAATAGGTGTGGTGTGGTGCTGAAAAAAATGTATATTCTGTTGATTTGGGGTGGAGAGTTCTGTAGATGTCTATTAGGTCCGCTTGGTGCAGAGATGAGTTCAATTCCTGGGTATCCTTGTTGACTTTCTGTCTCGTTGATCTGTCTAATGTTGACAGTGGGGTGTTAAAGTCTCCCATTATTAATGTGTGGGAGTCTAAGTCTCTTTGTAGGTCACTCAGGACTTGCTTTATGAATCTGGGTGCTCCTGTATTGGGTGCATATATATTTAGGATAGTTAGCTCTTCTTGTTGAATTGATCCCTTTACCATTATGTAATGGCCTTCTTTGTCTCTTTTGATCTTTGTTGGTTTAAAGTCTGTTTTATCAGAGACTAGGATTGCAACCCCTGCCTTTTTTTGTTTTCCATTTGCTTGGTAGATCTTCCTCCATCCTTTTATTTTGAGCCTATGTGTGTCTCTGCACGTGAGATGGGTTTCCTGAATACAGCACACTGATGGGTCTTGACTCTTTATCCAATTTGCCAGTTTGTGTCTTTTAATTGGAGAATTTAGTCCATTTACATTTAAAGTTAATATTGTTATGTGTGAATTTGATCCTGTCATTATGATGTTAGCTGGTGATTTTGCTCGTTAGTTGATGCAGTTTCTTCCTAGTCTCGATGGTCTTTACATTTTGGCATGATTTTGCAGCGGCTGGTACCGGTTGTTCCTTTCCATGTTTAGCGCTTCCTTCAGGAGCTCTTTTAGGGCAGGCCTGGTGGTGACAAAATCTCTCAGCATTTGCTTGTCTATAAAGTATTTTATTTCTCCTTCACTAATGAAGCTTAGTTTGGCTGGATATGAAATTCTGGGTTGAAAATTCTTTTCTTTAAGAATGTTGAATATTGGCCCCCACTCTCTTCTGGCTTGTAGGGTTTCTGCCGAGAGATCAGCTGTTAGTCTGATGGGTTTCCCTTTGAGGGTAACCCGACCTTTCTCTCTGGTTGCTCTTAACATTTTTTCCTTCATTTCAACTTTGGTGAATCTGACAATTATGTGTCTTGGAGTTGCTCTTCTCGAGGAGTATCTTTGTGGCGTTCCCTGTATTTCCTGAATCTGAACATGGGCCTGCCTTGCTAGATTGGGGAAGTTCTCCTGGATAATATCCTGCAGAGTGTTTTCCAACCTGGTTCCATTCTCCCCATCACTTTCAGGTACACCAATCAGACGTAGATTTGGTCTTTTCACATAGTCCCATATTTCTTGGAGGCTTTGCTCATTTCTTTTTATTCTTTTTTCTCTAAACTTCCCTTCTCGCTTCATTTCATTCATTTCATCTTCCATTGCTGATACCCTTTCTTCCAGTTGATCGCATCGGCTCCTGAGGCTTCTGCATTCTTCACGTAGTTCTCGAGCCTTGGTTTTCAGCTCCATCAGCTCCTTTAAGCACTTCTCTGTATTGGTTATTCTAGTTATACATTCTTCTAAATGTTTTTCAAAGTTTTCAACTTCTTTGCCTTTGGTTTGAATGTCCTCCCGTAGCTCAGAGTAATTTGATCGTCTGAAGCCTTCTTCTCTCAGCTCGTCAAAGTCATTCTCCATCCAGCTGTGTTCTGTTGCTGGTGAGGAACTGCGTTCCTTTGGAGGAGGAGAGGCGCTCTGTGTTTTTGAGTTTCCAGTTTTTCTGTTCTGTTTTTTCCCCATCTTTGTGGTTTTATCTACTTTTGGTCTTTGATGATGGTGATGTACAGATGGGTTTTCGGTGTGGATGTCCTTTCTGTTTGTTAGTTTTCCTTCTAACAGACAGGACCCTCAGCTGCAGGTCTGTTGGAATACCCTGCCGTGTGAGGTGTCAGTGTGCCCCTGCTGGGGGGTGCCTCCCAGTTAGGCTGCTCGGGGGTCAGGGGTCAGGGACCCACTTGAGGAGGCAGTCTGCCCGTTCTCAGATCTCCAGCTGCGTGCTGGGAGAACCACTGCTCTCTTCAAAGCTGTCAGACAGGGACACTTAAGTCTGCAGAGGTTACTGCTGTCTTTTTGTTTGTCTGTGCCCTGCCCCCAGAGGTGGAGCCTACAGAGGCAGGCAGGCCTCCTTGAGCTGTGGTGGGCTCCACCCAGTTCGAGCTTCCTGGCTGCTTTGTTTACCTAAGCAAGCCTGGGCAATGGCGGGCGCGCCTCCCCCAGCCTCGCTGCCGCCTTGCAGTTTGAACTCAGACTGCCGTGCTAGCAATCAGCGAGATTCCGTGGGCGTAGGACCCTCCGAGCCAGGTGTGGGATATAGTCTCGTGGTGCGCCGTTTTTTAAGCCGGTCTGAAAAGCGCAATATTCGGGTGGGAGTGACCTGATTTTCCAGGTGCGTCCGTCACCCCTTTCTTTGACTCGGAAAGGGAACTCCCTGACCCCTTGCGCTTCCCAGGTGAGGCAATGCCTCGCCCTGCTTCGGCTCATGCACGGTGCGCGCACCCACTGGCCTGCGCCCACTGTCTGGCACTCCCTAGTGAGAGGAACCCGGTACCTCAGATGGAAATGCAGAAATCACCCGTCTTCTGCGTCGCTCACGCTGGTAGCTGTAGACCGGAGCTGTTCCTATTCGGCCATCTTGGCTCCTCCTTTCGTCATGATTGTATTTTGAAATATGAGAGGGATATGAGATTTGGAATGGCCAGGGGCAAAATGATATAGTTTGGGTGTGTATTCCCACCAAAATCTCATATTGAAATGTAACCCTCAATGTTGGAGGTGGGCTTAGTGGGGAGGTGATTGAATCATGAGGGCAGGATTTCCATGAACTGTTTGGTATCATTTCCTTTGGTGCTATCCTCACAATAGTAAGTTTTCATGAGATCTGGTCGTTTAAAAGTGTGTAGGACTCCCTACCCCCAGCCCTCTCACTTACCATGTGATGTGCAAGCACCAGATTTCTTTTGCCTTGATTGTCAGCTGTCAGAGGCTTCCCCAGAAGCAGAAGGCAGTGCTATGCTTTCTGTACAGCCTGTAGAACCATGAGCCAATAAAAACTCTTTTCTTTATAAATTACCCAGTCTCAGATTATTTCTTTATAACAATGTGACAATGGCCTAATATATCCACCAAAAAACTATTAGAACTAATAAATTGAGTAAATTTGCAGAATACAAAATCAACATATACAAATCAGTAGGATTTCTATCTGCCAACAGTCAACAAACTAAAAAAGAATTCAAAAAAGTAATCCTATTTGCAATAGCCACAAACAAAATGTGTGAGAATTAACCAAAGAAATGAAAGTTATCAACAATTAAAACCAAAAAACACTGAAAAAAGAAAGAGGATACAAAAAATGGAAAGATATTTCCATGTTCACAGATTGGAAGAATCACTATTTTTAAAATGTCCATACAATCCAAAGCAATCTATAGATTTCATGCCATCCCTATCAAAATAACAATGACATTCCTCACAGAAATAGAAAAAAGAATTCTGAAATTTATGTGGAACCACGAAACACCATAATAGTTAAAGCTATGCTGAGTAAATAAATCAAAACTGGAGGAATCCCATTACCTGGCTTCAAATTATACTACTGAGCTATAGTAATTAAAACATCATGACACTAGCATAAAAACGGACATAAAGACACATGGAATGGAATAGAGAACCCAGAAACAAACCCATACACCTACAGTAAACTTTTCAACAAAAATGCCAAGAACATACAGTGAAAAATAAGACAGTTTCTTCAATAAATAGGGCTGGGAAAACTGGCAAGCCATAGGCAGAAGAATGAAACTAGAACCCTATTTTTTGCCACATTAAAAAAATGAAATTAAAATAGATTAAAGACTTAAACCTAAGAACTCAAACTATCAAAGTTTTACAAGAAAACATTGGGGAAACTCTCTAGGGCATTGGTTTGGGCAAACGTTTCTTAAATAATGCCCCATAAAAACAGACAACCAAAGCAAACATGGACAAATGGGATTACAGCAAGTCAGAAAGCTTTTTTTTTTTTTTTAAACAGTGAAGGAAACAATCAACAGAGTGAAGAGAAAACCCACAAAATGGGAGAAAATATTTGTAAATTACCCATCTGAAAAGGGATTAATAGCTACATGATAGGGTTAGGCTTTGTGTCCCCACTCACATCTCATATTGACCCCTCTGGTTGGCTGACCTCTTACTGGGGAGAGATTTATTGACTCAGGTGACCAAGCCATGGTGACCTTCACAGATCATAAAGCAGAGAAAGTGTTACTTTTGTTCCTGACCCTTCAGGGGAAAAAACAAGTTAAGGATGAGCTGTCACATTTACCACCTGAGGTATTGTCTCAAGTAAATCCCGAGGTTTGGGCCACACCGGCTCTGGGAAACACACTAAACACCTCCCCCATTCAAATCCAACTTCAGCCTAGTGCTCCTCACCATCAGAAAAGACAGTACACTTTAAGGCAAGAAGCATGAGGGGAAATTCAACCCCTTATTGCCAAATTCTTGCCATATGACTTATTAAGGCCATGAGAGTCTCCTTATAGTACTCCCATGTTACCAGATCAAAAGCCTAATGGCAAGTACAGATTTCTCAGAAATCTTAGAGCATTAATAAATGCAGTTGTTGTCTTCATACACCTCATTGTCCCCAATCCTTATCCAAGTCCCAGGGGGTGCTGAGTAACTGAGTAAACTGGTTTACGTTCTTAGATCTGAAAGATGCATTTTTCTGCATCTCAATGCATCCAGATTCACAATATGTTTGCCTTTGAATGGACTGATCCAGATACTCATTCAGCCTCAAAACTCACCTGGACAGTCCTCTCTGAAGGGTTCTGGGATAGCCCCCACTTATTTGAAAATGCTCTAGCTAAGGACTTAAGAAATCTACAGTTGTAAAGGGGCACAATTATTCAGTATGTAGATGACTTGGTCATTGCTAGCCCAACTAAAGAAGATTCGGATAATAATACTGTTAAATTGATAAATTTCCTGGGAACTAGCAGATATAGGGTATCGCATACAGGGCTCAGATTTTGACTCAAAGACTCAAATACTTGCAATCTCTCTTAACCTCTGGAACTGATCAACATCCCTAGAAAGAAAAAAAACTCTTTTAGTCATCCAAGAGTCCCAGTCCAACAAATGACTGTGGGCCTTTCTAGGGGATGGCTGGGTATTGCTGCTTCTGCACACGTAGCCAAGCCTTTATATGATACACTAAAAGGGAAAGATTTAGAGATTCTTGAATGTAATTAGAACTGCAAGCAAATCTTCAATACTCTCAAAGAGAAATTGGGCTCTGCTGCAGCCTTGGGAGTCTCCAAGTTGGATGAACCATTTTTTCCTTATGTGGCCAAAAAGCAAGGCATAGGCCTTGGGTAATCTTATCACAAAACTGGGGAACATTCCAAGGCCAGTAGCCTCCTTTTCTAAGCAGATAGACCAGGTGGCCTCAGAGTGGCCTGGATGTCTTAGAGCTGTTGCTGCCATAACTTTTCTAGTAGGCAAAGCTAATAAACTAACATTAGAATAGCCCCTAAAGGTTTTTGACCCCACACCAAGGGAAGGTGGTCCTAGAAGCTAAAGGGCACCAGTGGATAATAGGGGAACATTTATTAAAGTATCAGGCCTTATTGCTAGACACTCCAGACATAACCCTTAAAGTCTGCCAAACCATAAACCCAGCTACTTATCTGCCAGAGTCCATAGGTGCTCCCAGCCTTTCTGGCATACAGGTTGTATTAGTCTGTTCTCATGTTGCTAATAAAGACATACCTAAGGCTGGGTAATTTATAAAGGAAAGAGGTTTAATTGACTCACAGTTCCACATGGCTGGGGAGGCCTCGAAATCATGGCAGAAGGCAAATGGGGAGCAAAGTCACATCTCTTACATGGCAGCAGGCAAAAGAGCTTGCGTAGGGAAACTCCCCTTTATAAAACCATCAGCTGTAATCCCAGCACTCTGGGAGGCCGAGGTGGGTGGATCACCTGAAGTTAGGAGTTTGAGACCAGCCTGACCAACATGGTGAAACCCTGTCTCCACTAAAAATACAAAAATTAGCTAGGCATGGTGGTGGGCGTCTGTAATCCCAGCTACTCAGGAGGCTGAGACAGGAGAATTGCTTGAACCCAGGAGACAGAGATTGCACTGAGCTGAGATTGTACCACTGCACTCCAGCCTGGGCAATAGAGCAAGACTGTGTCTCAAAAACAAACAAACAAACAAATAAACAAAACAAACCATCAGATCTCATGAGGCTTATTCACTGTCACGAGGCCAGTATGGGAAAGACCCACCCCCTGATTCAATTACCTCCCACTGGGTCCCTCCCATGACACATGGTGATTACGGGAGCTACAACTGAACATAAGATTTGACTGGGGATACAGCCAAACCATGTCACAGGTTATGAAACAAATTTATTTTAGCAGGCCAGACTGAAGAGAGATGAGCCCCTTCCCCATCCCAAGGAAGAGGGGTTAACAAATGCAAGTTGTTTTATGCATCAGGAAAACAGGAGGGCTAGATATGCTATTATTAGTCAGCACAAGAGAAGGCACAAGCCTTGCTGGCCTCAACCTCAGCTCAAAAAGCTGAGTTAACTGAACTTACTACAGCCCTGCAGTTGGGAAGGGATTTAAAAGTTAACATTTACACCGATTCCAAGTGTGATATTTTAGCGTTTCATACTTATGCTGCAATTTGGAATGGGTAGGGACTCCTGACCACCAAGGGCTTTTCTAGACAACATCACTCAGGTTTTGAGTTTGTTAGAATGCTGCTTTGCTGCCAAAAAAAAAAAAAAGTGACTATAATTCATTGTAGAGGACATCAAAAGAGAGACTGACCATGTAAAAGGAAATGCCCTCACAGATGCGGCAGCCAAGGCCACCGCACTGAAAGGGGCAATGAAGCTGATGGGCATGCTGGTCAGCATACATAGAGCTGGGTGAGAATTCTCTGAAGAACTAAAATGGGCCAGGGATTGCAGTTTAGTCCAGGGCCCCTCTGGCTGGCAGACTGATGGTAATAAATTACTAATGCCAAGTACCAATCACAGGAAAATAATTCAGCTCTTTCATGATTCGTTTCATCCTAGAAGGATTCTTTATTTCAGTTAATGTCTCATTCGTTTACGGGGATAAATCTTTTCAAGACACTACAACAGATGACTCAGCCCTGTAAGCTCTGTGGCTGAAATAACCAAACAGCCAGCAATTTTTTACTCCTCCAGTTAAACCTGTCCAACATTAAGGAACCTATCCAGGTGAGGACTGGCAACTCTAATTTACTCAGAAGCCTTTCTGCAGGGGATTCAAATATTTGCTAATGCTCACTGATACCTTCGCTGGTTAGATCGAGGCATTCCCCACCCTATCTGAAAAAGTGTTTACCAGAAGAAATAATTCCTCAGTTTGGGTCATCTAAAAGCCTGAAAAGTGACAGTGGCCCATCTTTCACAGCAGACGTATCCCAACACCTATCCTCAGCTTTAGGAATCCAATATCACCTTCACTCTGCATGGAGGCCACAGTCCTCTGGAAAGGTGAAAGGGCTAATCAAACTCTAAAGAAGACTCTAGCTAAGTCAGAGGCCTGACTATCCCTGACACCCACAGCTTACTGAGGGTTTGAACTGCTCCAAAGGAAAACTTATAATTAAGTCCTGTTGAGTCATATGGGAGGCCTTTCCTAACCACAGATCTCCTAATAGATGAAAGGACTCATCAATTACGAAAATATGTCATCAATCTAGGACAGGTGCAAAGGCAATCTGTGAATATGGAAACAAGAGGCTTCCCCTCCCACAGGGGAGGAAAATTCAGTTTCAGCTCAGCTAGGGATTTAGTCTTACTAAAGACGTGGGAGGAAGTTCTCCAGCTGACCAGCTTTCCCCAACGTGGAAAGGACCACGGCAAGGTCACCTGACCTCTCCAACAAACATTACACGCCAAGGGATTCACAGGTGGGTACACCTGTGTGGAAGTAAAGCTGTTGCTTATTCTGGGAGCCCAATCCGAGGCTGGGGGAGGTGGGCGCGGGGCTATTTCAGCGTTGGTGGAGCGCGGGCCCTGTCATTGCGCGTCTGTCTGCTCCTCCTTCTCGCTTTTCTCCTGCCACCCTAGTCCCGCCTTGGCCATGAGGGAGATTGTGCTCACGCAGACGGGGCAGTGCGGGAACCGGATCGGCGCCAAGGTTGGCGGTGGGGGGGCCCTTGAGGGTCCAGCGCGGACCTGCCGGGTGGCCGGGGAAGATGCTGGCAGTGGCGGGGGCGGCGCCCCTGCATTGCCGCCCCTGGGCTCCCTGCCCCGGACCCGGTGGAGCTGGGAGCCTGGCCAGGCGGCCAGGGCGGACCCTCAGGGACCCGGTGGCCTGGGGGTGGGGGTGGAGGTGGGAGAGGGGCTGGGGCGCCTCCTGCTCTCTGTGCTGACTCAGTCCTGGCTTTTCTGGCCCCTCTTGTCTCTCGCAGTTCTGGGAGGTGATCTCTGATGAACATGCCATCGACTCCGCTGGCACCTACCGCGGGGACAGGGACCTGCTGCTGAAGCGTATCAACGTATACTACAATGAGGCCAGCGGTGAGACCCCCGTCCTTCCCCCACTGCCCTCCTGGGCACAGCGGCCCTCCCCTCGCTGATGCCCTTCCGCCCCGCTCAGGTAGCAGGTATGTGCCCCGCGCTGTGCTAACTGATCTGGAGCCGGGCACCCTGGACTCTGTGCGCTCCGGGCCCTTCGGCCAGATCTTCAGGCCGGAGAACTTCATCTTGGGTGAGTTGTGGGTAAAGACTGGGGTGCGGCTCCTTAGCCAGGTAGCTCAAAGTCAAGGAGTGCCCCAAGGTCATGGCTGTGGGAACTGTGGAGCCAGGGCCCCTCAACACCCTCTTATCCTCTGAGTCGCTCTATCTCCCTCTCCTCAACGGGCTTTGGGAGGAGGGCCCAGCTGTCTGCCAGAGGAGAGCAGCTGCTGATGTAATCTCCCTGCAGGGAGCTGAGTGGGAACAGTGGCTGCTGCTTTCCTTGGGAATGGGCAGGAGCCACCTGCAGCGAGGTCTGTTGTTAGGCTGTCTCAGGTTTGGCTCCTGCCTTAATTTCTCTTTCTTTTTTTTTTTTAAATTATACTTTAAGTTCTGGGGAACATGTGCAGGTTTGTTACACTGGAATGCATGTGCCATGGTGGTTTGCTGCACCCATAAACCTGTCATCTACATTAGGTATTTCTCCTAATGCTATCCCTCCCCCCTTCCCCCCACCCCCCACAGGCCCCAGTGTGTGATGTTCCCCTTCCTGTGTCCATGTGTTCTCATTGTTCAACTCCCGCTTATGAGTGAGAACATGCAGTGTTTGGTTTTCCGTTCTTGTGTTAGTTTGCTGAGAATGATGGTTTCCAGCTTCATCCATGTCCCTGCAAAGGACATGAACTCATCCTTTTTTATGGTTGCATAGTATTCCATGGTGTATATGTGCCACATTCTTTACCCAGTCTATCACTGATGGGCATTTGGGTTGGTTCCAAGTCTTTGCTATTGTGAACAGTGCCACAATAAACATGCGTGTGCATGTGTTTATATAGAATGACTTATAATCTTTGGGTATATACCCAGTAATGGGATTGCTGGGTCAAATAGTATTTTCTGGCTCTAGATCCTTGAGGAATCGCCACACTGTCGTTCACAATGGTTGGACTGATTTACACTCCCACCAACGGTGTAAAAGTGTTCCTATTTCTCCACATCCTCTCCAGCATCTGTAGTTTCCTGACTTTTTAATGATTGCCATTCTAGCTGGCGTGAGATGACAGCTCATTGTGGTTTTGATTTGCATTTCTCTGACCAGTGATGAGCACTTTTTCATGTTTGTTGGCTGCATAAATGTCTTGAAGTGTCTATTCATATCCTTTATCCACTTTTTGACAGGGTTGTTTTTTTCTTGTAAACTTAAGTTCTTTGTAGATTCTGGATATTAGCCCTTTGTCAGAAGGATAGATTGTAAAAACCTTCTCCCATTCTGTAGGTTGTCTGCTCACTCTGACAGTTTCTTCTGCTGTGCAGCAGCTCTTTAGTTTAATTAGATCCCATTTGTCAATTTTGGCTTTTGTTGCTATTGCTTTTGGTGTTTTACTGACTTAATTTCTAACGGGAGGCTGCTGTCCTGTAACTTTGGGGGAGGGGGTCCACCTGCTCCACCTGTAGGGTGAATGGTGCTTTCTTGGCCCTTTTTGCAATGTGGCAGTGACCACTGATGACCGCATACCTGGCCATTGAGTGACCGGCTATACTGTCTTACAGGTCAGAGTGGGGCCGGGAACAACTGGGCCAAGGGGTACTACACAGAAGGCACGGAGCTGATGGAGTCAGTGATGGACACTGTGAGGCGGGAAGCTGAGAGCTGTGACTGCCTGCAGGGTTTCCAGCTGGCCCACTCCCTGGGTGGGGGGACTGGGTCTGGGATGGGTACCCTTCTACTCAGTAAGATCCAGGAGGAATACCCAGACAGGATCATAAACACATTCAGCGTCCTGCCCTCGCTCAAGGTGTCAGATGCCGTGGTGGAGCCCTATAATGCCATCCTCTCAATCCACCAGCTCATAGAAAATGCACATGAGACCTTTTGTATTGATAACGAAGCACTGTACAATATTTGTCCCAGAACCCTACAACTGCCCAGACTCACCTATGGTGATTTGAATCACCTGGTATCTGCTACTATGAGTGGGGTCACCACGTGCCTGCACTTCCCAGGCGGTTGAATGCTGACCTGCGGAAGCTGGCCATGAACATGGTCCCATTTCCCTGGCTGCACTTCTTCATGCCTAGCTTTGCTCCACTGACCAGCCAGGGCAGCCGGCAGTACCAGGCCCTGACGGTGGCTGAGCTTATCCAGGAGGTGTTTGATGCTAAGAATATGATGGCTGCCTGTGACCCCGTCATGGCTGCTACCTAATGGTGGCTGCCATTTTCAGAGGTCACATGTCCATGAAGGAGGTGGATGAGCAGATGCTCAATCTTCAAAAGAACAGTAGCCACTTTGCTCATCGGCTCCCTCACAATGTAAAAACAGCCACGTGTGACATCCCATCCAAGGGGCTAGAAATGTCGGCCACTGGAATCAGTAATAACACGGCCATCCAGGAGCTGTTCAAGCGCACTATGGAGCAGTTCACAGCCATGTTCAGGCACAAGGCCTTTCTCCACTGGTACACGGGTGAGGGCATGGATGAGATGGAATTTACCGAGGCCGAGAGCAGCCTGAAAAATCTTATGGCAGAGTACCAGGATGCCACGGCCAAGGCGGAGGAGTTTGAGGAGTCTGCTGAGGAGGAGGTGGCCTAGAAGTTTCCTTTTCTGGGTAAAGGGGGGATGGAGTGTGGATTCTTTAGTGTGTTCTGATAGCCAAGTGTCACTACGCAATTTTTCTTTATGTCTTTACATCTCTTCCTGTTGCACTTCAAAGCATTTTCATAGTATGTGATTTTACCTGATAAAGCATCCTAACAGCATCTGGTTTCACCTCCTACTTCTGTCAGCTCTCTGGGTGCTGCCAGATGGGCATAGTGGTCCTGCAAGGCTGCAGCTGTCTTGGGCTTATCTCATGCCCAGGAACAAGCATTCCAGTGGCTCCAGAAGGGGTCAGCATGGGCTGTGGACATGGCAGGAAGGCTTCACATGAACTTGAGGCTGCCCTGGGCTTTGGGCAGCTACGTGGTGGGAAACCTGTTCCTGAAGGCAAGCCTTGGCTTATCCTGTGTACCGAACTTCCAGGGGACCAGCTGGCCCTCTGTTGCTGGGACTTTAAAAGTGGCCAGTGAGCCCAGTGGACAATGTCCTCAACGTCCCACCTCAGGGTAGGAATGTGGCCAGACAGCTGGCCCTGAACCAGCAATGAAGGGTGAGCAAGTAGGGCCCCAGCTACTCCTCACCATGATGGCCTGGGTGTGTCCGTGTGGCCTCATTCTCCTAATGAGGTGAGCATGGGGTATCTGGCAGGTACTAGTGGGCAGGAATCAAGCCCACTGTGTACTCACATGCACTGAACCCCATGTAGAAGGGGATTAAGCCCTGGGGGCCATAGATGCGGTTGCTGGGGCTGTGTGTTTGGGGCAGTCTCTCTCCAAAGGCACAGGTGGGTTTTCTGAGCAGGACCTGAGGAGACAGGCAGGTGCTCACAAGTGCTGCTTCCCTCAAATGGCAACCAGTGAGGAGAAAAATGCCCAAGTTGGAGGTTTGACCTGCCCCAGTCTTGGAGGGCTGATGCTCTCTGGAAAGGTGGCTAATGCACACTGTCTCTTGTCTCCCTGTCCTGCACTCCAAAATCTCAGGGCAAAAATAATCCAAGACTGTCAGGATGAGACTGGTGAGGGTGGCACCTTTGGGGATAGGCCCTTTAGCCCAGCAAAATCTCCCCAGGCTTCTCAAGGAGCCTGGACTTCACGGCCTGCTCTGGGGAAGCTGTCAAGTAAGAGATGTGTGTGAGCTGGGTGCTGGGCGCCATCAGGACAGTGCTCTTCACCTGCCTCTTGTAGAACTCGTCCATGGCCTCTGTGATATTCTCTTGGTAATTCCCCCCACCCCCGTCACACAAAGATGAAGCCAGCATAGCCTGGGGATGGGCAGATGTGTAGGTTCTACCCCAGGAACCCTGAGCGATTCCATCTGCCTCTGATGTGTCGGGGACAGGTGAGGCTCCTTGCTTTTTGTTCTCTGAATATTTGCAACGGCCTATTGCGCCAAATGGGAACAGGCAGGCAGGAGAGTGCCTCATCTTGAAGTAGCTCCTGGAAGCAGCTGGGAGGTGGGAGAGGTTCCCCCCCTACTCCCCCAACCTGTTCTCAGAGCAGGAAAAGGGGGCTCTGTGACAGCCCTCCTCAGTGGCTGTCACCCTCTGAGGGGTGTCCTTGCCCAGCCCAGGTGTGCACCCACCTGAGATGGCATTGCATGGATCCAGTTGGGAAGGTTCACCTGCAGTAACTATTGGAACCTTCCCATGCCTGGTGTCTCCACTCTCACATGGGGTCCGATGCTCCTTCCTCCAGTGGTACAGCTGGAGTGGCAGAGGGGCAAGTCACTGCTGCAGTTCCCACCTGGGTTTGAGTGGGGGTCACGCTTGGTATCCATGTATTTCCCAATTGCCTGGTTCCATCTGGAGGCTTCATGGACAGTAGTGGTGTTCTTCTAGGCCTCTTCATATGCCAGCTGCAGGCCGGGGCTTCCCAAGTTTCTGGAGTCCCCCTTCCAGCCTGGCAAGCATGGCGGGTAGTGGGGGAAGGACACTAAGCCTGCAGGCAGCAGAACCTGTCTGGGTATGTTCTATACCCCTGGTGGCCCCTGGTTGTTTACCACCTTGGGTGAGAGTCAGCTTAGGATCTCAACATTCTTGTAGGACTTCAGAACTGTATAGACACAGGCCCAGGAGGGAGCAGGGGCTGGGACTGGCAGCTAACGAGTATAGTGGGGGTCATAGGGCTCAGTTTGGTCTCAGCAGGGAATTCAGGGAGGCTTGGATTTGCTGAAGGCCTTAGACGAGCTTGGGTTTGGATATAGGAACAACATGGAGCAGGGGCCCTTCTGCATGCTGGAGTTTGAGTAGTTGTGCCCTAGTGTATCCATAGGTGTTCCCCACCTGGAGTGCAGCTATGGGTAGAAGCTGGCATAGCTGTGGAGGGAACAGGAGGAGGTGGCAGGACGAGTCTCTAGGGCAGCCCCAGCAGCCAGGCAGGGCTTC
Organism: Homo sapiens; assembly: GCF_000001405.40. NCBI lineage: Eukaryota > Metazoa > Chordata > Mammalia > Primates > Hominidae > Homo > Homo sapiens. The sequence continues at coordinate 242,062,665 of NC_000001.11, forward strand.
TGCAAGTGAGATGCAGATCCAGCCTGTTGGCCACTTAGCAGCTGCTTGGCTATCTGCAGATCACCTGACCTCTGCTCATCAGTACATGGGGGTTGCAGTAGCACTTACCTTCTGGGACTTCTGCAGCTTGAAGAGGCAGCACACACCATGTGCTGAGAATGCACCTGACTCAGGCAAGCTTCTCCAACAGCGCCACATCAGATTAACATCCAACCTGTATAGGACACCATCAAATCTCCCCATCCCTCATTCCAACTGTAAGAAAAGGGAGTCTCTGTCCTAGGGGAGCAAGCACAGGCATGTTTATCCAGTGGGCACATGGCCCAGGTTGGGGAAAGGTCCTTGGATACATGCTGGTTTCACCAGGAATCTGTGGGGTGGGTTTGGCCTGGACCCCAGGAGGCCAGTAGCCCCCTGCATGGCACAGGACTGGGAGGGCTGAGCGTTGAAGGGAGTCATTAATTGGCCTCATGGGAAGTGGTGCAGGTGGTGGGTGGTGGTTCATTCTTGCAGGGCCTGTGTGATCACCCAAGGAGTGCAAATTGCCTTTTTTAAAAAAAAAAAAAATGCCAAAATTGATATAAGCTCATCAGTTAAAAAGGTGAGTAATGCTGACAGTAGGCTTCACCTGCTCCTTCCCCAGAAGTAACTGGTGTTCAGAGGTGGATCTGGTTCCTTCCCAGCCTTTCCCCTTTGCATGTAGCTGTGTGCATGTACTTAGGTGTGTAGGCACACATTCCCTGGAGGGGTAACTTTTTTTATTTGGGAGGATAACTAGTGAGGCAGCCTGCCATTTGTTTATTTTGTCTTTGAAGTGTGGAGCCCTGTATGGAGTGGGCATCCGGTACTTCCTAGCTGGCCTTTGCCAGCTGTTTGGCTGCCCCAGTTTCTGCCCTTCACAGACATGGCGGCCACCTGGTGTGATATTCAGTGGCCTTGTTCGCAGCTAGTATGATATGAGTGGATCAGGTACCTTATAAAATTGAAAAGCACACAACATGCACAGTGAAAGGATAAACAACCCTGTGTGTACTGCTCTGCTAAAGTCCACAGCACATGACTGAGATGACAAACCTTTTTTTCACCTAACATTTGGGCTCTGAGAAAGGGCATTTATGTTTTACTTTTTTTTTTTTTTTTGAGATGGAGTCTCGCTTTGTTGCTCAGTCTGGAGTGCAGGGGTGCGATCTCGGCTCACTGCAACCTCCACCTCCCGGGTTCAAGCGATTCTCCTGCCTCAGCCTCCCGAGTAGCTGGGACTACAGGCGTGTGCCACCACGCCCGGCTAATTTTTTGTATTTTTAGTCAAGACGGGGTTTCACCGTGTTAGCCAGGATGGTCTCAATCTCCTGACCTCATGATCCACCCGCCTCAGCCTCCCAAAGTGCTGGGATTACAGGCATGAGTCACCGCGCCTGGCCTTACTTTTTATTTATAACAGAGTTAAAAGAAATACTACTATGCTTTCTATTCCATTATCCCCAACTCCTACTGCACCCCCTCTAGTTTACCTACCTCAGATAGAAACAAGAACTTGCCTGGTTAATGACAGCCTGGAATTATTTGAGCCAGGTCACTGTGTAAAGGTAATACTGATTCTGTCCTCTTGTGGATCACTTGCTCAGCTCAGATATTTCATAGCTCCCTGTATACAGGAGGATGTGTTACCCTCCTAGCCTGCTTTCTTGGTTTGATATGTGCCTGAGAGCATGTGACAGCACTTAAGGTCTAGGCTCATGGGCGGACTGTTCTGCCCACCCCCATTTCATCTCTCCAGGTCAGTCTGCACGCATGCCTTCCTCCATCTGGTTCCAGAGTAGGGGATGGGAGGTCTCACACTGACCTCAAGTTGATGTGATGTTTTCCACCTCTGCTTTCCCAGACAGCCCCTGCTGCGGGGCTTGTAAGGTGCCATGGAGATTTGTGAAGTCCATATTTTCTTATGTGGGTGTTTTATAAATTAGAGCCCTGGAGGGTGAATAAATGTTAGAGACTCCAAACCCCTAATATATAAACATCTAAGCCTGGCCCTTTTTTGGTGGTAGAATATACGTATCATAAAACTTACCATTTTAACCATGTTTAAATGTACAGTTCAGCGGCATCTAGTATATTCAGTGTTGTGCAACCATTCCCTTTATCCATATCTACAACTTCTTTATCCTAAACTGAAACACCATACCCATGATGAAGTCATTGAATAGAAGACTGATGCATTTGACTCCATAAAAATGAAAACTTTCTATGAGAGAAAAATGCCTCAAAGTCAAAAGTCAACAGACTGGAGAAATAGATTTGCAACATACATGACAGACAAAAAGCTAATTTGGGTAATATATGTATAATATATAAAAATAATATATAATATATAAATAATTATATAATATATATCATATATAATAAATATATAATATATTGGGTAATATATATGCTGGGTAATATATAATATATGTATTTTTATATTATATATTTATTGTATATTACCCAATATAATATATATGATATATATATAAAGTTATCCTAAATTATTAAAAGGCCAGAAACCAAATTGAAAAATGGACAAAGAATGTAAAGAAACAGTTCAAAGAAAAATGTAGATTTAAAAATATCTGCTATTTTTTTACTGTGGTAAAATATGTGTAACAGAAAATTTACCATTTTGACCATTTTGAGGTATACAATTCAGTGGCATTAAGTACAAATACATTGTTTTGCAACCATCACCACTATCCATTTCCAAACCTGTTTTATCCCAAAGTGAAACTGTATCCACGGAACGATAGCTCCCCGTTTCCCATCCCCCCATTCCCTGGCAACCACTATCCTACCTTTTGTGTCGGTGAATTTAACTGCTCTAGCTACGTCATAAAAATGGAAGCATATGGTATTTGCTCTTTTTGTGTCTGGCTTATTGTACTTAGCATAATCTTTTCAGGGTTTATCTGTGTTGTAGCATGTATTAGAATTTCTTTTCTTTTTAAGGCTGAATAATATATCATTGTGGTATTGACCATATTTGCTTATCCATTCATCTGTAGATGGACATTTGGGCTTTTTCTACCCTTTGGCTATTGTGAATGCTGCTATAAACATGGCTATCTGTGCAAATTCCCACTTTCAATTCTTTTGGGTATATACCCAGAAGTGGAATTACTGGATTGTATGCTGATTACCGTTCTCCACAGTGGCTGTGCCATCTTACTTTCCCACCAGCAGCGTGCAAGAGTTCTGACTTCTCCACATCCAGCATTTGCTGTTTTCTGGGTGTTTGTTGTTTGTTTTGGTTTGTTGTTGTTGGTTTTTTTGATGGTAGCTATACTTATATGTGTCAGCTGGTATTGCATTGTGGTTTGCATTTGCATTTTTCTCATGATTAGTGATTCTGAGCACCTTATCCTGGGCTTACTGGTCATGTGTATATCTTCTGTAAAGGAATGTGTATTTTAAAAGCTTTGCTTATGTTTAAATTTGATTATTTTGTTGTTGTTGCTGAGGTCTTTATATAGCCTGGATATTAATTATTTATCAGATATATAATGTGTGGATATTTTCTCCCCCTCTGTGAATTGTATTTTCAATCTATTGATTGTATCCTCAGATACTTAAAAGTTTTTAACTTTGAAGTTCTTTTTATGTATTTTTGTTGTTTGTCATTGTCTGTGCTTTCAGTCATATCCAAGAAATTATTGCCAGATTCTATGTTTTGAAATTTTTCCCTAAATTTTCTTCTAAGGGTTTTATAGTTTTAGCTCTTACAATTAGATGTTTGGTCCATTTTGAATAAAGTTTTTTATATGGTGTAAAGTAAGGCTCCAACTTCATTCTTTTCCATGTAAATATCTATTTTTTTTTCTAACACCATTTAAAAAATACTATCCTTCCCCCCGTGAATAGTGTTGACTCCCTTGTTGAAAATCATGAACATATTTTTTGGTTCGTGTTGCATTGGGCTTTATGTCTGTCTCTATGCTGGTATGATACTGTTTTGGGTACTAAAGCATTGCAGTGAGTTTGAAACCAGGAGGTCTTAGTCCTCTAACTGTTCATTGTAAAGATTGACTTGGCTACTTGGGTTTTTTTGAGATTTCATCTGTATTTTAGAATAGGTTTTTCTATTTTTGCAAATATTGGGATTTTATTGAATCCGTAGATGACTATAGATAACAATGGCATCTTGGCAAGGTTTTGTCTTCCAGTCCATAAACACACGATGTCTTTTCATTTATTTGTGTCATCTTTAATATCCTTCTGCAATGTTTATAGTTTTCGCTGTACAGGTTTTTCATTTCCTTGGTCAAGTTGGTTTCTAAGTATTTTATTCTTTTGATGCTGTCATAAATGATACAGTTGTCTTTATTTCTTCTTCAGATAGTTTATAGAAATAAAACTAATTTTTGTATATTGATTTTTGTATCCCGCAGCTTTGCTGAATTTTATTTATTGCATCTGACAGTTTATTTCAGAGAAACTGCAAGTTTTTTTTTTTTGTTTGTTTGTTTGTTTTTTTTTTGAGATGGAGTCTTGCCCTGTTACCCAGGCTGGAGAGCAATGGTGTGATCTTGGCTTACTGTAACCTCCACTTCCCGGGTTCAAATGATTCTCTTGCCTCAGCCTCCCAAGTAGCTAGGATTATAGGTGACCATGCACAGCTATTTTTTGTATTTTCAGTAGAGACGGAGTTTCATCATGTTGGCCAGGCTGGTCTCAAATTCCTGACCTCATGATCTGCCCCCCTCGGCCTCCCAAAGTGCTGGGGTTACTGGTGTGAGCCACCACACCTGGCCAAGATTTTTAATATATAAGATTATGTCATCTGCAAACAGATAATTTTACTTTTTAAAAAATTGGAATATCTTTTATTCTTTTACTTGCCTTATCTTTATAACTAACTAGAACCTTCAGTACTATGTTAAATAGAAGTGGTAAAAGCAGGCATCCTTGTTTAAGCTCTTAGGGTAAAAGCTTTCAGTCTTTCACCATAATGTTAGCTGTCTTTTTTTTTTTTTTAATATAACGTATTATGTTAAGGTGTTTTCTTTCTTTTTATAGTTTATTAAGTGTCTTTTATCATGAACGTGGGCTAAATTTTGATAAGTGCTTTTTCTTCTTTAAGATGATCACAGGTTTTTTTTCTTCTTTATGTGAATGTGGTATTACACTGATTTTCATGTGTTGGAGTGTACTTTTATTTCAGGAGTCAATTATACTCATTCATGGTGTATAATCCTTTTAATATACTGCCAAATTTGAATTGCTGGTATCTTGTTGAGGATTTTTGCATCAGCATTTGTAAGGGATGTTTGTTTGTAGTTTTCTTATGGTGTCTTCGTCTGGCTTGGTGTCAGAGTACTGGCTTCATAGAATAAGTTAGAAAATGTTACCCCCTCTTCAACGTTTTGAAGGCGTTTGAGGAAAACTGGTGTTAATTCTGCTTTAAACATCAGGAAGAATTCAACAGTGAAGCCATCTGGTCCAGAGCTTTTCTTAGTTGCTGGGTTTTTGATTACTGATGCAATCTTCTTGCTGACTCTCCTTGCTCAATAGGTTTATTCAGCTTTTCTGATTCAGTCTTAGTAGGTGTTTTGTTTCTAGGAATCTGTTCATTTTTATTTAGGTTATTCATTTTTTTTTTGGTTTACAGTTCCTTATGGTACTCTTACATCCCTTTTTTAACTCTGTAAATTTAGTAGTAATGTACCCATTTTATTTTCGAGTTAGTAGTTTGAGTATCCTCTTTTTTTGTCAATCTAGTTAAAGGTTTGTCAGTTTTGTTGATCTTTTTCAGAGAACAAATTCGGTTTTGTTTTTTTTTTCATACTGTTTTTCTATTGTCTTATTTCACTTATTTCCACTGCTATCTTTATCATTTTTTTCTTGTGCTAGGTTTTAGTTGTTCTCTCTTTTCCCCTCTGTTTTTAGTTCCTTAGGTGTAAAGTTAAGTTACTGATTTGGTAGCTTATTTTTTAATCATTTATAGCTATAAATTTTTCTTATAGTACTGCTTTTGATGTATTGCTTAACTTTTGGTACTTCATATTTTTAATTTGTCTCTAGATATTTTCTATTTTCTCTTGTGATTTCTTTGATCTATCCTTGAGTGTTTAATACCTGTATTTTTAGACCTAAAATGTGTAGCCTACAGAATTTTCCTGATTTGTTACAATTTCATTCGTTGTAAGTTTTTATTTCAGAATTAAATGAGTATATCAACATTTGTTATGTTCTCATAAACTTTGTAATACATGGAGATTCCTGGTCCACATACGTAAGCCTCTATATAAATATTATTTTGAAGCATTTAACCTTTTAATATTCCAAATGTCTAAATGAAATTGAGATTTGGGTTTTTGAGATGAAATCGTGGTAGGTGACTGAGAAATGCTTAAAAATTAGCCAAAACTTAAGTTAAATTTTACCTTCAAGATTCAACCTGAATGAGTCGCCCTGTTTTGCTGGTAATAAAAAATAAGTCTTTAATGTTATAAAAGCAAACTTCAGAGAATGTTCCCCCTACCCCGCAGTTGACATCTCAATTAAATGCTGTGCAAAATTTTTATGGCCTTCAGCACTTTTTACTTTAGAATTCCAACTTTTTCTAGTTAAAATTTTTCTAAACAGAATCCTGTGTATTCGAAAGACAAATGAGTTTTTAGTTGAAATGCTTAAGCAGCTTTGAAGAAGTTAAAGCTCTTGTGCTTATTTTTGCTTTAAATAGTTTCTTTAATATAACGACATTTCAAGAGTTGATTCAATGTTAAGTTCCTCTAAACTTTGGTTAAGAAGCAGAAAGCATTACATGAGATTCTTGACATATGCTTTCAAGGAATCTCTTTTAAAAGTGTTAAAGGTGGAACTATTTAATTTAACATAAAATTGAATCTTTATGTGTTTGCATAATTTGAAAACTTATGTCTTATAGCTTTTCAAATGCCCAAGTATGGTACATATTTTCCCTTAGTAATATGAGGGTAATAATTGTAGTCACCATGGGCTAACTACATGCCACACGTCATGCTAAATTTTTTATGCATATTTATCTTCTAATCTTCAGAATTGTCTAAGTTTGGCAGTTTTATTGTCTTCATTTTCATAACCATTCTTGATTCATTCTATAGTCTCATCATTTTTCTGTTCTTGATTCTTTATGTATGTTTATGTTTGTTCATGTGCTTTTATTTCTAATAATGTAATAAACATTTAGAAATTAGAAAACTGAGATTTTATAGTGGAATAAATTGTCCATGGGACACTCAGCTATAAGACGTGGAGCCAGGATTAAAACTGGCGTCTGTCTGATTCTAAAACCTGCGATGGTAACTACTATAATTGCAGTAAAACTTCCCTGATTGTTCTACATGAATTAACTTATCTGTCTCTTTCTCCTCTCACTCTTCTTTATGTTTTTTTTCTTAGTACTCATTACTACCTGGTGTGTGTGTGTAGTTTTTTTTATAGAGATGGGGTCTTGCTGTGATAATCATAATGTATATTTTTAATTTGCTGTCTCTCTTGCTCTTTTGTTCACTGTTCTCCTAAAACAATTCCAGGCATTTGTATGTGGTTTGTAGGTATTGGTTGATACTTAAATGAATGAATGTAATTAGTGTATTCTGTACACTATCAGGGCATATATTATTAAAGATGTGATAAATTTCATGTTTTCCTCTGTTTATATTGTTATTCCTATATTGCAGCAGTCCCCAATCTTCTTGGCATCAGGGACTGGTTTCATGGAAGACAACTTTTCCATGGACTGGGCAGGGGGATGGTTTCAAGATGATTCGAGTACATTACATTTATTGCATACTTTATTATTATTGTATTGTAATATATAATGAAATAATTATACAACTCACTATAATGTAGAATCAGTTGGAGCCCTGAGCTTGTTTTCCTGCAAGTAGACAGTTCCATCAGGGGGTAATGGGAGACAGTGACACCCAAAATGTGGTGTTTATGTCCAGTCTACTCCCTAATCTTGTTTTGGTTGCTGTCACTGCAAAAAACCCTGTTTCACAAAGACAGGAGGTTGGAAATGGAAGCAGGTGTTTCAGTGATACTATTGACAAGGAAATGTCAGTGCTCCTGTGGAGAACAGAAATGGCTTCACTGTCCTTAAGTTTTACATAACATTTGCTATTATTGGTCCTTCTCTGTGTTCTTTTTTTTTTTTTCCTGATATCTCTTCTCTCTTCTTCCTCCTCTTAAATGTTACATATAATCCTGTTCTTTTATTTCTAAATTTTTGAATGCTTTTCAATGCCTGCAGGTCTTTACTGATACCTCTACAATCATTTAACTCCAGTTCTATTTCAGTGGCTTAGCTGCCCATCTGGTATTTCCATTGGTTATTATACTTATCACAAAGTTCATAAATCTGAAATTCAGTGCTATAGATAATTTTCTTGCAGTAGTTTAAAAATATGTTCAAAAATTATTTGAAACCTCAAAAAGTATGAGGGATCTTCACAAAGTACATGGGAAATGCATATTTTTGCATGGATTTCAAAAATATTTTGCACTTGTACTAACTTGTTCTGAACAGGATCTAATTTGAGGAATTATAATAAGAAAACTAAAACACCAATTTGAAAAGAGGTCCCATTAGAAGAACATGAATTCTGCTAAAATTAAAGCTAGAATAAACATCAAATTTATGGCGATTTGGGGTGAAAGAATAGTAAAATCACTGATTCTTTGTGACAAGTTTATGAGGATAATGCCCCCCAACATTTGCAAGTTTACAAATGAGTAACTCATCTGAAGAAGGGATAATAAGATGTTGAAGATAAAGCCTGCAGTGGCAGACAATTCACATTAATTCACCAGAAAAAAAAATTAATCTTGTTCATGCCCTGCTTTAGGAATGACAACAGCATAAACAGCCAACACCATCGCCATCTCAATTGGTTAAATTTACACAATTTTGAAAAATTTTGCACTCAATAGATTCGAAAACTCTTGTTCCCAGATCAGCTGCAGACAAGAGCAGAGCTTTCAACTGAAATTTTACATAAGTGAAATCAAGATCCTGAAGCATTGCTTCAAATAATTTTAAGAGGAGGTCAAACACACCTGTTCCAGTGAAATCTTCGAGACAAAACATAGTCAAAGCAAAAAGTGACTGCTCTAGAACAAAGCTCATAGCAACAGTGTCTTAGGATGCTCAAGGCATTTTGCTTGTTGACTTTCTAGAGGGCCAAAAACAAAAACCCAATAACATATGCTATTATGAGAGTATTTTGAGAAAGTTAGCCAAAGCTTTAGAAGAAAAACTTCCAGGAAACTTCACCAGAGAATTCTTCTCCACCACAACAATGTTCCTCCTCATTTCTCTCATAAAAAAAAAAAAAAAAAAGACAATTTTGGCCGGGCGCGGTGGCTCACGCCTGTAATCCCAGCACTTTGGGAGGCTGAGGCGGGTGGATCGTGAGGTCAGGAGATTGAGACCATCCTGGCTAACATGGTGAAACCCCATCTTGACTAAAACTACAAAAAATTAGCTGGGTGTGGTGGCAGGTGCCTGTAGTCCCAGCTACTTGGGAGGCTGAGGCAGGAGAATCGCTTGAACGAGGGACGTGGTGGAGGTTGCAGTGAGCTGAGATGGTGCCACTGCACTCCAGCCTGGAAGAGTGAGATTCTGTCTCAAAAAAAAAAAAAAAAAAAAAAAAGTTTTGCCAGAGTTTCAATGGGAAATTATTAGGCATCCACCTTTTAGCCCCGATTTGGCTGCCACTAACTTCTTCTTTTTCTTTCCTGATTTTTAAAAAACTTGAAAGGGCACCCATTTTTCTTCAGCTAATAATGTAAAAAAGACCGTTTTGACATGGTTAAATTCCCAGGACCTTAGTTTTTGTGGGGTCGGTATTATTGCTTATAAAAGTGTCTTGAACTTGATGAAGCTTATGTTGAGAAATAAAGTTTCTATATTTTTGTGTTTTATTTTCATATTTCACAAACTTACTTAAGTCCTTTCATAGACCCTAATTCTCTTCTTTTTGAAGGCATATCCAGCTTAATCATCCTTTCTGGTGAATAGAATGTGTTGGAAATGACCATGTATGATTTGTGAGTCTCAGTCATAAAAGATTTTGCCACTTCTGCTTTGTTTTTTCCTAAGCCACTCATTCTGGAAGAAACCAGCAACTATTTGGTGAGAACAGTCAACACAGGCATATTCATAGTGCACTACAACCTTCAACCCCTGGGCTCAAGTGACCCTCCAGCCTCAGCCTCCTGAGTAGTTGGGACTACAGGCACATGCCACCATGTTTGGCTCCATGCTTCTTAACTTAGACCCATTCTACCAATGCTTCTAGTATCCTAACGTTTGCTGGATCACACTTAAGTGGCCTATGAGGATTCGCATTCTTGGTTTTCCTGAGCCTTATTTGAGTTGGACAGAAGCGAGAGGGAAGGGCACAAAAGACAGCAAAGAGACCAGAGAGTCTCTTTTTCTCTGCTCATGTCCCTAGTCCCCCTACACCCCAATTTCATAGGAAAGAAAGGGGAGCAGGGCATGAAAAGGGGAAAAAGCGACCAGGATGGGAAATAAGGCAGTGTTTATGGAGGTTGCTCTGCAGTGACCATCAGCCTCCTGAGGGGAGGAGGACAGGAGCTGTCGCCACATTTCAAGCACTTGGATTGTAGATTTCAGGTGACCGATGACACCAGGGATTCTGTCAGTGATATGGCCCTGAAGGTTGGGAGAAGGCCTGTCCACAGCCCTTGCTACAGGAGCTGAGACTAACAACATGCCTTTATGTATGTTTGTGAAAATGATGTTCAAAACCCAATCTGTCTCCCAGTGAAGATCATACTTTTAGTCAATCAATTGGAGGCCAATGGGAAGTGAGTAGCAATTATTTGGAAATAAATTATCTGCTGGAAAAGAGAGTAGTAAAACTGATCACAGAATGTGTGACTATCCGTTTGTGGATGTCACCAAGACACTATTTATGAATAATTGTAAAGGTCTTGGCAGGCTGAGGCGGGAGGATAGCTTGAGGCCAGAAGCTTAGGACTGTGGTGAGCTATGATTGCTCCACCGCACTCCAGCCTGGGTGACAGAGTGAGACCCCATCTCGAAAAAAAATTAAAGAATAATCATGAAGGAAATTTAAGACTATTGCCATGCCGTCACGGTGACTGTAGTGTGTGGTCTAAGGGAGGCCTGGTTGCACCACACAAGCGACACTGTGTCCTAAGACCTTTCAGGTGCACGACTGAGGCTGGACAAAGTTAAGCCTCTGATGAATCTCCTATGATGCCTTTGTTTCAGGTGAAGAAAGAGAGGTTCTGAGAGATTAATATACCCAAGGTCACACAGCTAATAAGTGGCAGAACTAATACTCAAATCTGTATTTCTCTAATACCCTAGTTCTAGAATAGCTTTCACTATCATGGGCACTTTATTTATTTATTTATTTATTTTTTATTTATTTTTTGAGACGGAGTCTTGCTCTCTCGCCCAGGCTGGAGTGCAGTGGCGCAACCTCAACTCACTGCAAACTCCGTCTCCCGGGTTCACACCATTCTCCTGCCTCATCCTCCTGAGTAGCTGGGACTACAGGCGCCCACCACCACGCCTGGCTAATTTGTTGTATTTTTAGTAGAGACGGGGTTTCACCGTGTTAGCCAGGATGGTTTCGATCTCCTGACCTCGTGATCTGCCAGCCTTGGCCTCCCAAAGTGCTGGGATTACAGGTATGAGCCACCGCAATGGGCATATTTATTTATTAATTTATTTCACAATATTTATTGAGCTTTGGGCAAGCAGGGTTAAGACAGTGCTGCTTTCCAAGACCCCCCAGTCTGCTGGGGCCCTAAAGCACACCACTCATGATGTTGTAGTGAGCCAGGTGGTAAAGGTTAGGACTGCGGACTCCAGACCCAGCAGGAAGAATGTGGAAGGCAGTCAAGGCAGAGAAGAGTATGTCTGGGACAAGTTCTAAAGACAGGTAGGCATTGGCCAGCAGCCACAGTGAAAGGGGACTTCAGCTGAGGAAACAGCATGGAAATTTATGAAAGGGAGAAAGATCCAGGGAAGAACAAGTAGCTATAGAGGCCAGGGGTGTGTGCAGTATGGGAGGCTTCTGGAGAAGGGACAGGATGAGTGGGAGAGGAGCTGAGACTGGATCTGAACTCCTGATGTGTCAGGCTAAGGAAATGAGAATTTATCCTGCCAAAAATTGGGGCAGCAAAATTTGTTTAGAGCTGTCAGTCTGTGGTCAAATGAGTATGTTGGGAAGAGCTCTTGAGTTGTCTTGGATGCAGGCAATATCGGAGGCAAGAAGATTGTTTCAGAAACCAGAAGAAAAGATAGGCATGAGAGGTGCTACACAAAAGCACTGGGGGTGTACAGGATGAATATATTTGGAAATAATTTAGAGGGAGCAGTAAAAATTACTTGTTGCCTAATGGGTGATGGGGAGACAATGGTAACTCACAGGTTTCTGGTGTGGGTGATTAGCGGGTTGGAAGGGTGGTCCCACCATTGTGAAAGTAGGAACAAAGTAGTGGATGGAAGAGGTAGTTAAGGGGCGGTCGAACTAATTTACACTCCCACCAACAACCAGAAAAGCTGTTCCTATTCTCCACATCCTTGTCAGCCTCTGTTTTCTCCTATTTTTAATGATCGCCATTCTAACTGGCGTGAGATGGTATCCCACTGTGGTTTTGATTTGCATTTCTCTAATGACCAGTGATGGTCCTGGCACATTTTCAATCTTTATACTCAACCCAGGCCTAGGGGTTTACACCACGGGATTTAGAGAGGATATTATGGGAAAGAAGAAACAACATGTTCTGTACTCACTTTTCAGAGGAGACCTTGCTTTAGGTCAACACTCTGAAGCAACATCTTTTTTTACTTTAGAAACGGAGTCTCACTATTGTTGCCTGGGCTGGAGGGCAGTGTCATCACAGGCATATTCATAGTGCACTACAACCTTCAACTCCTGTGCTCAAGTGACCCTCCAGCCTCAGCGTCCTGAGTAGCTGGGACGACAGGTGCATGCCACCGCATTTGCCTACGTCCTTCTTAATTTAGCGGTTACAAAGGGGGGATGGAGGAGGAGGATTCTCTCTACACACCTTGATTTGAACTGCCTCAAGTTCAGAAAAATAGCCTCGCTCAACTCTATAACCAAAGTCCTACCTGGAAAAAGGCAGTGGAAATAAAAGAGAAGCCCAATGAGCAAGACCTTGTAAGCATATTTATGCCAACATTCAAGAGCAGGAAACAACTCCAGCCAGTCAGTAGGGTGCTTGGATTCCTTGGCAGGCATGTTCCTATGTCCGCATGACTCCCTTGACTTGGATTTCCACACTTACCAAGCAAGCTTATGATTCTTCCAGAATTTCCAGGTAGCCTTCCCTATGAAGAGAGAATACACAGATGGGCTGACGTCGGAAGTCGAATTTCTCATTGTAAATGAGTTGGTAGTTTAGCTTATACATTAATAACTTGAGTTTGGTTATTCTGGGTGAATCTTCCTTAAGCCCAATCACTGCAAGGTGTCCCGAAAAATGGGATCCAAACCTTGGTGTCAACCCAGATATGGCAGCCAGCTGGTCTTTCTAGTCCCTAAATTCAACTGGTTTCAACAACATCCACTGAGGCTAAGCCAGGAGAACCAGGAAACTCTGCAGGCATCACATGCTGCGGTAGAAACTGCCTGTGTCTCCTCAGGAGGTTTCATCTGGAAGAGTGTGTGCAGTGGCACAGCTTTGTGGTTTCAAACCTCAGCTGATCAGGAATCTGTAAAATCCTGCAAGGATCGGTCCTAGTGCACGTAAATGGGTTAGCCAAAACCATATCATGGCTGAAAGGGCAGCTTCATGTGTGGACAATTCATATATAAAGGCATGTCCTTTCCATTTGCACATCAGAAAATGGCCATAAGAGCAACACGTTAACTTCATTCATTCATTCATTAACTGTTGATGATATGCCTAGTACGAGCCCCCCATTGTGTTCAGTGATGGGGACACAGCAAGCTATGACTGTCTCTGTCTCTGTGGGGCCTCTCCCCATGGAGACACCACCCCCTACTCAGGATGGAAGGGAAGACAAGGAGGGTGATGTTGTGAGATGGTTACTGATTCCTCTAAAGACTCTTAATCAGGATCTATAGTTTTTCCAGAAAGGGATTTTTCCGTGTAAGTTCTAGAAACCAAATGCTGACACTCAAGATTTACCTTCTGGAACCAAGAAACATCTCACTGCTCTGTATATTCGTTTTCAAAAATGTCAACTCAAGTTCATGTTTTCTAAGTGCAGTCATGTCCGTGTAAGTGCCACTGTGAAACTTCACAGCTCGGCTACGTTATCAGGCAGGAGAAGGGATAACTGCTGGAGTGAAAATAATATTCCAAACCTGCTGTCTATATTGGAGGCTGATTTTTTGACTTAGGACTTTTTATTGTTGACTCTTACAAAAGAATAAAAAGAGTGACCCAGGTATGGTCAGTGTTTTTATTTAAAAACAAGCATATTCCTAAAGTCTATATAGCAAGAGAAAATAAATAAATGAATAAATAAAAATAAGTATAGCTTGGTTGAAAGCTAGCTTATAACTAAATGAAAAACATGTGGCCTGAGATTTGGCTCAGTCATCCCTACATCCATTTGTTTCACACCTTCTGCAGCTTGGATGGTCCTCACCCATTTTCTTTTCCAAAACACTCATATTTCATTTCTTGCATCTTAGCCACCCATGTATTCTTTACAATTCTGAGGTGCTAAAAAATTTTTTCAGGCCAAGCACGGTGGCTCATGCCTATAATCCCAGCACTTTGGGAGGCCGAGGTCGGGGGGGATCACTTGAGGTCAGGAGTTCAAAATCAGCCTGGCCAATATGGTGAAACCCTGTCTCTACTAAAAATACAAAAATTAGCTGAGAGTGGTGGCAGGCATCTGTAATCCCAGCTACTCATCTATTGTTTCCTGACTTTTTAATAATTGCCATTCTGACTGTTGTGAGATGATATCTCATTGTGGTTTTGATTTGCATTTCTCTAATGACCAGTGATGATGAGCTTTTTTTCATATGCTTGTTGGCCACATGAATGTCTTCTTTTGAGAAGTGTTGGTTCATGTCCTTTGCCTACTTTTTAATGGTGGTGGTTGTTTTTTTTCTTGTAAATTTAAGTTCCTTAAAGATGCTAGATATTAGACCTTTGTCAGATGCCGAGTTTGCAAAAATTTTCTTCCATTTTGTAGGTTGTATGTTCACTCTGATGATAGTTTCTTTTGCTGTGCAGATGTTTTTAGCTTAATTAGATCCCGTTTATCAATTTTGGGTTTTGTTGCAATTGCTTTTGGCATTTTTGTCATGAAATCCTTGTGCATGCCTATGTCCTGAATGGTATTGCCTAGATTTGTCTTCTAGGGTTTTTATAGTTTTGGGTTTTATAGTTTTATGTAAGTCTTCAATCCATCTTGAGTTAATTTTTGTATTAAATAGATTCTTTTCATTGAGTACCAACCAGTGTATTCAAAAAACATGGGGGATTATATAATCATTTGAATGTTATAGTCCCTCAGAAGATTTGTTTTCTTCTTGTAGATGGCTAAGCCCATGTCATCTTTTATTGTTTGTCACCCAGGCTGGAGTGCAGTGGTGTGTTCATAGCTCACTGCAGCCTCAAACTCCTGGGCTCAAGCGACCCTCCTGCTCCAGCCTCCCAAGTAGCTAGGACTACAGGTGTGTGCCACCACACCTACCCAGCCAATTTTTTAATTTTTATTTTTGTAGAGATGGGGTCTCACTATGTTGACCAGGCTGGTCTCAAACTCCTGGCCTCAAGCAATGCTCCCACCTTTGCCTACCGAAGTGTGGGGATTACAAGCATGAGCTACTGCACCTGGCCTTACCCCACATCATCTTAATTCAACAGGAGGTACAGATGATTTGAAGCTTTCTGATGGGGCTTCTCTATTTCTTAGTCATCTGTACTTCTCATGTATTATCCTTCAGAGTCCCAACCCAAAGCCTCGGGTCTTATAGAGACCCATCTCCCCTAGTGGTCTGATTTCCAATATTGTATTTCCAACCCCTTGCATCTGTTGAAAGCTCTGCTTAGCATTTGTGCTTCTGGAATCAGTAGATAGCTCTAAGGAAAAGTGGCTGCATTTTTTTTTTTTTTTAGCTCGAGATGGAGTCTTGCTCTGTCGCCCAGGCTGGAGTGCAATGGTGCGATCTCAGCTCACTGCAACCTCTGCCTCCTGGGTTCAAGCAATTCTCCTGCCTCAGACTCCTGAGTAGCTGGGATTACAGGCATGTGCCACAACACCTGACTCAATTTTTTTGTATTTTTAGTAGAGATGGGGTTTCACCATGTTGGCGAGGCTCATCTTGAACTCCTGACTCCATGATCTGCCCACCTCAGCCTCCCAAAGTGCTGGGATTACAGGCATGAGCCATTGTGCCAGGCCCTTGGCTGCAAATTTTTGACTCACTTCTCAACCTCTCAATGCACATCTCTCTGATCTTGACCATGCAATTTTCCTCCCTACCTTGGTGTATCTCTGATGCATTCAAACAAATGTAGGGTTAAAACATTCACCCAGCTTTCCTAGTTGTTTTCAGCAAATTGATTGACATTACCTACTTCATCATTGTAGGAAGGGAAATATTAGTTAAATTTTTAACACAGCATTCCACATTTTTCTTTCCTTTTTCCCTAAACTCTGAGGTCCCTGAGAGGAGGGGCTGTCTTCTTCATCTTGATGTGCCCAGGACTCAGCACAGAACTTGAAATACAATATATGATTATTAAATATTTGTTAAATCAGTGCATTCTTTTTCTTTTCTTTTCTTTCTTTCTTTTTTTTTTTTTTTGAGACAGAGTCTCTCTCTGTCTCCCAGGCTGCAGTGCAATGGCATGATCTCGGCTCACTACAACCTCCTTCTCCTGGGTTCAAGCAATTCTCTTGCCTCAGCCTCCCAAGTAGCTGGGATTTACAGGTACCCTCCACCATGCCTGGCTAATTTTTTTGTATTTTTAATAGAGTCAGGGTTTTGCCATGTTGGCCAGGCTGGTCTCGAACTCCTGACCTCTGGTGATCCACCTGCCTAGGCCTCCCAAAGTGCTGGGATTACAGGTGTGAGCCAGTACACCCAGCCTCTCCTTGGGATTTCTGGTAAATAATGTAATTGTTTTTCACCCTTTCCAGAAACTGAAAACTGTCACTTGAGCATGGTAGTATGCCAAGGGCAGGGCAATGAGAGTTGTCCTCTCTGTGTGTAGTCAATTGGTTAATACACAGACCAACAAAAATTTTTTCCCTGAGGGGTATTTTATCACTGACATTGTTTAGAACTGCTGGTAGATGGTGATAGTAAGAAGTGGGTGACTTTTAGTGATTTTACTGTTTTTAAAATTCTCACCATAAAATGTGCTCCTATTGCCTGCAGTCTAGGATGGACTGCTCCCACTACCTAACACTTGATACACACAGCTCATGACAATGGAGGCAAGTGAGATGCTTTTGGGGGACAACCCAGCTGGGTTCATAAAGAAGTGTGTGCCCCTGTAGTGAGTGGGCCAACTGGTTTTGACACATTGCATTATTCCTGACTGTCCCATCCTCTACTGGGTCTCTGGGGAAACATTTATCTGCACTAAATTGCTTTAAACCACACTTCTACTGATGAGATTGGTTAGGACACGGTGGCAGGCAAATGCTAGAATATTATTTACTCAAACTGCATAGTCATGTTCGGGTTTGCTTTTCATACTAGATGCCCCTTGAGGACAGGGGCAGGTCTCATTCATTATTGTCTGTTCCAAAGCAACAACTCCAGGATTGCACAGAATTGGAGTTCAATCAATGTTACATTGAATGGTTCTCCCCTGTATGTCATTTCACACATAAAACAAACACAATATTTTTTGTTATATGTTTGATTCTTAAAACCAGCATGCATGAAAGTGAAAGATAAGTTTTTTAGAGAATATATGACATCTTGTTAAAAAGCCCTTCTGCTTCCAGGGATATAATTTTAAGATAAATTGGTAATAAAGATTCATGACCAGGAAACCTATATAGTAAAGAGAAATACCATACATTAAAAGATGAGTTTATGAAAGTCAAAGGCAAACTGAGGTTCCTTGTGTAGAAAGACTTTCAATAAATCTACAAAGCTCAGTTGAGAACATTCCTCTTTGGTTATGCTCTTATTTATCTGTTATTTTAGAGGTTGATAGGCACCGAAGCCCACCTATCTAGATACCTGGAACCCAGGGCCACCTTAAAGAAAGTTATCTGAACTTATATTGGTGACTATTTTTGTACTTGCTCAAGCAGTAAGTCAGCTGGTTGACATCTCAGTAAATTTTCAGAACTTGGCATTTTTTTTTTTTAATGCTACTAACAACAAAGCTTAGGGAACTGTTACATTTATTCATTCTTCTTCAGTGAGTCACTTTGATCTTATAATTCTTATATTCCTAATCATTCTTAAACATTTCTTACTTTTAGTCCTCATGAATTTGTCTTTACTCTAAATGAGAAGCACATTGATAAGTTTGTGTTTTTGAAATTAACTCTGTTAGTCATTAATACTATACACTAAATATGTTGGTTTCTCCACCATTCCAGAAATGCTGGTGGGACTGTATTTCTTAACATCAGGCTAGGTAAAATGATGTGACTAGCTCTGGCCATTGTGTTGTAAACAGAAGTGACATGTATTCCTTCCTGATCAGAGAATTTAATAGTTCATGTAAGACCCTCCAGCAATCTCTTTTCCCTCTGGCATGGTGACCAGCAACATTTGCTCTGTCAACCTGGGTCTTTAAATGGCCAAGATGAGCTGAGCACCCCTGCTGACCCATGATGAATATGTAGTGTGAACAACAACAAAAAAATCCTTTGTGGTTTTAAACCACTAAGATTTGGGGATTATTTATTACTATTTGTATCAGAATTCTACCATAGAAATAGAACCAGTGTACACACACACACACACACAGAGAAATTGATTTATTGAAAGAATTTGCTTACGTGATTGTGGGGGTTGCTAGGCAAGTCCAAAATCCATTGGCAGCTCACCAGGAAGGGTAAGCTGGAACTCAGGCAGGAGCTGATGCTGTAGTCCACAAGTGTAATTTCTTCTTCAGGGAAGCCTCAGTTCTGCTCTTAAGACCTTTTGAGGCCCACTTAAGATTATCGAGGAAAATCTTTCTTAGTGAAAAAATCTGATTATAGACTTTAATGACATCCACAGAAAGCCTTCACAGCAACACCTGGCTTAGTTCGTGTGTTATTGAGTAACGGGGAACAGTAGCCTAGTCAATTTGACACACACAATTGACCATCACACTATGGCATAACATAACTAGGCTCCCCAAATTGCACGATCATAGGAACAGTTCAGCAATATGTCACTGTCTGCAGACCTTAGACTCCTTAAATGTCCTAGCTCTTGCATCCTTTTTATATAAATAACTACAAACTAACTGGCTGAGTGACAAACTCCAAAATACAGAATTTTGTTTTCAACCCATATGCTAAATGGTAGCTTATGGCATTCTTTTTCAATGAGTGTCCACCATAGGCTAAATGTGAAACAAAATATCTAACACACCACCACCAAAGTAAATAAATAATCTTAAAAATCATCTAACTCTAGACCTTCTGATATTATTAATCTCTACTTAAATTGAGCTGGGAGCCATGCAGGATAAATGTGTCTTGATACTACCCCCACTTCCTCCATTTCCTCCTATGACATTTCAATAGACCCACCTTCCTCCATCAGACCTCCTAGGAGTGATTTCACTTGTGTCTTCTACACATTTCTGTAAACTGCCTATTTACACCAAATATTTAGCATACTATTAGCAACTTCTGCATTTGTTAAGTCGATCATTAGACTGTGTATTTTAAAACATTATCTAAATTTATAACATCTGTCTCTACTTAACTCTGTGTATTCTACACCTCATTTTCCTCATATAGAAAAATAGTGGGTCTGGGCTTCAAGAGTTCTAATTCCGCTCCCCAGCTCTAACAGTCTCTATGTCTATCATGTAGTCATTTCCTAACTTTCCATGCTCAATGTTTCAAACACACTTTATGAGTCTAACACATTTGATTACTATTGATTTGATATTTAACCCTTATGGCATGGATCCACATGCTTCACCATGGAGATCTCCGACATGAGTCTCTATCCGACCCAACAAGGTATACTACAGTGTTTTCTTTTTTTCTCCTCTTTTCCTTCCAAGCTACTTAAAAACGAGGATAGCTTTCACTTTATCGTGTTAGGCCCTTCCAGGTTTCAAAGAACAGACACACAGGTTACTTCAGTTAATGTGAGTTTATTTATGTCAATACATAAGAAAGGAAGAAAAAAAAAAAGCAACCCAGGAACTACAAAGTCCAGACTCATTGTTCAGGAGTCAAGTATTTCTCCAGTAAGCTAAGAGCAGAATGGTGAATCAACAAGACCTCAAATTGTCTTGACTGCAGAAGTAACTGCTGTCACTGTTCTCAGAGTCACCATTACGGTGACTGTGTCTATTCTGGCTGTGCTTCCTATTCATCATTTACTTTCTGGTGTTCAAACTCCCTAAAAGAGGGCCGTGATTGGTGGGGCCAGGTACCATCAAACAAGAATACCACTGCTAGGTACACTTTCATTCCTTAGGCCGCCCTCTGGCCTGAAAATGAGTCTCTTTGGGTCGGGTACTGAACCTTGGTACAATCAGCTGTGGCCAGTGTAGAGAGCTCACATGGCAGAAAACATGGTTTTGCTCCTGCAGGAGCTGTGGAGGTAGGGTCTCTCCAAGACACCAGGAAAACTATAGATCCACCTATGAAATATGAATGAGAGATAGCTTTATCACTGGAGACAAATTGGCCTTTGTTTCTCAATGACATTTTCCTACAGAGGATTTTCAAAGTGCTTTATCAGTACCATAACTTTGCTGAAAATATGGTGTTGCCTTCTTGTTATTACATTTTCTAGGATGTTGCCTTTAATAACTCACCCCTTTTAAAGAAGCAGCTAATCTTCACTTTTAACTATTAAGTGAAATTGTAGATTACGCTCTGATTTGAATGTTATTGGATCATATTTTCTGAGTTGTCTTTAAAGATCTTCATCCTCTATTTATATTGGAAAGTAACATATAATTTCAACGTTTTTAATCCTGGGAATTGAGGTCATATTTCCAAGATTGGTTGTGCATTTGTGTGGGAAAACTCTAAATTAGAAACCATCTGTGTTTGTCTTGCAAGGGGCTCAGAATGTCTCATCTGCTTTTCAGAATTTTCCGCCCATGGGGAATAGGAGAGTCCATAAGGGAATTAATAATTTTTTAATGTCTGAGCCAAAAGGAATGGGTTTGAGAGCCAGATATCCACTTCATAAAAAGAGATCTTTTCTCCTTACTAATTTATCTCTCATATAAAAATAAATCACAAATAATCTTCACCCTTACTATGATTTAATTGGACTCCTTGTACATGACTGTCATCGCACTGTTAGCCCATTTTTTTAAAAAAAAACACGAAATTGTAGCATTCAGAAACTGCCAATAAAATCAGAATACTATTGACTATTGCAGACTCAAAGTTCACTTTTAAGCCTTTGCTAACCTCTCCAATGATAGTTTTTTTTTTAAAAGTATGCCTCTCAGATTGATTCTCTTTATGAAAACAGCACCCACCTTATTACATGCTGTGCATATCCTTTCAGAGATAAGACTGCCTCAAATCCAAATTACTTTAGTAAATCAACAAAATTTTATCCTGTGTGGGTCTTGAGAAAGGAACCATATAAAGCACTCCAAATTGTTTGGCTCAAGTAGGTTTTCAGCTTCTCACCTTGAGTCTGGAGCCTCAGACCACTCGGCCGTCCTGACACTCTAGGCTGTCAACTTCTATGCCCAAATGGGAAGGGAATTTACACGTTGGGTGAGCTGGTTGAGATGGCTGTTAAAGTATGCTCTACAGCTCAATATGGGTTTGCTGAGCAGACACTAGGTTCTCTAGTGGGGTCTCTATGATTGTTTCTTTTTCTCACTAAAAATTAATGTACTCAGAATGAACATTTATTGGAAAGGTTTTTTTTTTTTTTTTTTTTTTTTTTTTAGAGAAAGAGATAGGTATAGTGTTTCAAAGATGCCTCCTTGTGTGAATATACAAAACAGTGGGCCCATTGGACCAGTCGCATCTACCTTCTTCATAATTTACCACAGTACAGCTTGGTTACTGATGAGAGACTGATTTGTTTCTGAGATCAGCTTGAGGAGAAAAAGAAATGCCTCATCTCACAGTATGAAAAAGCCATCTAATATTTACTTCTGAAAAAACTGAGCATCTGGTTATACGAAAGGTTTGATAATTTTAATGATTCCCCCAAATTCAACCCTTTATCAAACCCATTTATTTAGGGATCTTAAGGTTAATAATATAGATATGTCCAGGTACAAGTTTATCCTATTTACATAAAGGAACATTAAAAATTCAAGATACCTTTTGTAACAGAATTAGAAGTTTAGTAGTTGAACATAGCAAAAGAAAATGTGTAATAGTCTATTAAATGTAACTTTTTTTTTTCAAATTGCCAAAAGAAGCGTTAATGACCAGTGAAGTTTTAGAACCTTGTAAATACAAGACTGCTAATGGGTCAAAAATAAGAAAATTTCATTTTTACATCTTCAAGAAACTTCTGAGGAATACCCATTGAGTCACTGTATAAAGCAGCATCTTCATAATTCAGCCAAAGATGGGAATTCTCTCAAATGAGAAAGACAGGCTGCGAACTGGGGTTGATGTCAGGGCTATTCAAAAGCCTCCGTCCATTTAAGTCAATAAGGTGAAAATGGTAAGCAGCTATTTTGTTAACAACATATAAAAGGAAAATGAAAGATGCTAATCCAAATCAAATTGGAAAATTTTTTACCTTGGGCCAAATGGAAGTTATATTAATTTTGCCTTTAAAAGGTGTATAATAAAGCACACCAGTTCATTGGGAACAAGTACAGAAAGATAAAAGAATGAAACATTTGTCCACAATATATGGGGCTGTTCGTAAGGACTGAGTTTGAATAAACAATAACAAAGTATCTTTCATTATAGGAAGTGGCTGTTCTATGCAAGTAATGGCAGCGTTTTACATTCCTAAAGTTAAAAATAATGAAATGAATTTTGGACACAGAAACACACACCAGTGGTCATACGTGTGGAAAAAAAAAAAAGTTAATTGTAGGATAGAATTCCTGAGACAGATAGACCCTGGATCTGATCTTATCAAGAAATTCTTATGGTCTTTTCTCCCCCCTTGGAATTTAGTTCAATAAAAGTTCCTAAAAACAAACAGAATGAATCAGAGTCACTGAGTATAGCCACAGGCTGGTGGGAAATGAGCTTCTATCCATCCCAGGTTCATCGAGGCACTTAAACCATTAACTGCATTTCAAAAAAAATCCCCCACATTTTTCAAAGGGTGAGATCAACCAAAAATGTGATCAGACCCCTCTCACCAAGAACCATTCAGACATGAGACAAACAGTAGCACAGAGAGGGCCCGAATGGTGCCCAGAGTTACACAGGTGCAAAGTGTATCCGCAGACCTTTTGTTTC
The DNA here is from genome assembly GCF_000001405.40 of Homo sapiens. Taxonomy (NCBI): domain Eukaryota; kingdom Metazoa; phylum Chordata; class Mammalia; order Primates; family Hominidae; genus Homo; species Homo sapiens. The sequence goes on from NC_000001.11 coordinate 242,086,273, forward strand.
TTTGTCTGCTTTGACTTGTTAAAGACGCTGGTTTTCATTCTCTGTGCCACAGGACCTAGGAAGTCTGCAAAGCATCTCTTTACAGCATTCTTTTAAGTCAGTGGGGACATTTTCAGCATTCCTTGTTTCTATCAGGTTCAGGTACCTAAAGCTTGTTGTTTACAAAGCATGGATGTCATCTCACTCTTCCACTTCCTCTCCAATGGTTGGACAAGCAGAGATTCAATTATTTGATAGGCTAGTGGCCAGTGACAATGCAGTGGAGGCCCACAGTATTGATCTTTGATGGTGTGTGCAATGATTTGATTTGGCGGGGGGGTGGATAAAGGTGATGGGGCTTGGGAAGAGAACAGGCAGCATAAAAACTGTCACTGCTCAAATGGAAGTTTTCAACTGGTAGGCCCATCGGAAGGTCATTTGAATTCCACAGGAGAGAGAAGTGTTCTCATAGAATAAGTCATTGTTTAAAATCAACACTTGAGGATACATAAGGCACTAAGTTAGTGTTAGTGGTACTGAAATCCAAGATATAGTCTCTAATTGTGTTTGTTTTCCTTTTTGCCTCTTGGGAAATAAATCCAGGAATGTTAATGGGGAGTAGTCACCCTGCTCCTCATAATTTCTGGCATGGACATCCACCAGAGGGTGTCAAATTAACCTGTTTTTGTTTTGCATTCTTTCCCTCCTGGAAAGTAATTCCTGGGATATTTAGGGGTGGGGGGGAATGGAGGTTGATAGTTTGTTTAGCACAGAAACAAGTCTAAAAGAAAGGAAAGCCGTCTCTAGAGGGATAGCTAAAGCATCCAAATGAAAGAAAGTTCTGCAGAATGAAATGTTCTCTTGGGAGACATGAACCCATTTCTGACACTCTTGGTATGGGGGTCACTTTTCTGGCTGCCACAGAAGGACAGTGTGGCCCCATGGAGTCACCACCGCTGCCCAGACTCCCCTGATTAGGGGCTTGCTGTGTCTGGTAGGCATCTGCTGCTGCTGCTTGGCAGAAAAGCCTGGGATGCGGCTCCTGGTGATAGCATTTTGCCAGGCCTCAAAAGGAAATGGCAATGATGGTCATTCCGTAATGGATGACATTCTCTTCTCGTAGCACATACAGCAGATAGTGACAGTGAAGGGGCCCCATGACACCAAGCCTATGAGTGTCCCATGGCTGTGGATGAATACTTCAGGGGACAACTTGAGAACTAACAAATTTTAGTTTATTTGGTTTTTTTTTCTCCCTTTAGATGTCCTTTTTAAAACCAACTCAGGTCGCTTTTGTTTGTCTGAGTGTGAACTTGGTAGGTTTGTCTCCACTCCTATTCTGATTCCTTCTTTCCTTTCTGTATTTATTTATTTTTAGAGGCAGGATCTTGCTATGCTACCCAGGCTGGTCTCAAACTCTTGGCCTCAAGCAATCCTCCTGCCTTGGCCTTCCAAAGCGCTGGGATGACAGGCGTGAGCCACCGCACCCAGGCTGCTTTCTTTTTAAAATCATCACCAAAGCCACGTTTACTTTATTGGGATAACTGGCAGAGTTATAACTCCCAACTCAAATATGGATTGTGTATATGGTAAATATTTAGAGTCTTAGGGACTGGCTATTATTGATGAAGAATTTCAGTGAGAATCTCCCAATTAGTCATAAAACCATGCTACCCTTAAAAATACAGCTTCCTTCCAGCTCTCTTGATCAACTGGTTAAATATCTAGTGAAGCAATACTTGCAAATAACAAGAAGGGAAGTAATGTGATCACTCACTGGATAACCAACATAGCCATTCTATATTAAGTAAATCCATTGGATAAGATTCACAGGCTCCTCGATCACTCTTTTGGCATTTAGAAATCAAGTCTCCAGAAATGAAAAAGAATAACTGAGTGTTTCCTTGCTCTGAAAATACATGTATATTATGGTCCTGAAGAACCAGCTCTAGCACGACGTCTAGTTTTGTGTTGATGTTATTCATGCCAAAGCAGCCCAACGCAATGTTCTATTGAAATGTTGACAATCCAGATCTCCACCAGGGTTTCTGTGGGGCTGTGCTCTTTTCATCCACATTTGCAACAGGAAGCTGTGAATTTGTTTTCCTTTGTGGATTCTGGGGGAGGACCTGGTGTTGATTCCATCAAGATATGACAAAGTTTATTTCAAGAAAAAGATTATATATTATAATGCTTAGCATTTATATAGGTTCTTTTGATTTCAAAACAAGTTATAAATATTTCCTACCGTGACAACATCCTTGCGAGGTAGGTGAGTTATTACCGTCTACATTACCAAGAGAAGCCCGAGGCCAAGCAGTGAGGGGCTCCGCTTTGAGTCACAGAGTCGGGAACAACATTGGAACTGGACATCCCGGCCACCTGCTGTGGGCTCTGAAGAGGCCATGCCTCTCCCTAGTGTAGCAATGGTCTCCATTAATACAGGGGTATATATTGTATAGATATAAAACAACAACACACAATTACGTTATAGAACAATAATTCAATATTTCTGCTTCTTAGTAAAATATGTTAAGCACAGTATTTAAATTGCATTTCTCTGAAAAGCATTTGGTATATTAAATAGCAGAAGGTATATTAAATAGCTCTAGAAACGTTTGCTGGCATACTCTTAACAGCATAATGATTCTAAAGAAATTAAAATCCACTGACGCATAGAGATTTTTTCCTTTATAATACCATAAACTGAACAAAAATGTGAAAAACTACTTTATTCCCAAAATGCAGACTTGATAGCTTGCTGGATATTAGCAGGTGGCTACATAATTTTTCTGAGCTTGAGAGAAAGGATACATATTGCTGACTGTGATTTTTTTTAAATACCAATTCGGTAGGGGAAAAAAGGATTCAGTTGAAAGGTGAAAATGAAAGACTGCTATTTCCACTTAGTATCCATTCTGAAAAATTTGTATGTTTTCAAAAGATGTTATCATAGTTAGAAGTAATGTTGAGGTGAATACAGAAAATGCTATATAATAGGAACATTTTGTGAGAAGAGAAAATGATACCAAATAAAACTTATGGTATAAGAAGAAAATGAGCAAGACAGAAAAGGATATTTTTCAAGGGTGTTGAAGGCTGGCATGAGATGTAAGCTATTCATGCTTAGCTGACTGTGTAGGTCTTGGAGACGATTTACAAGAATAAACACTTGGTTTTATCAGTCTCTTCTCCAAGGCAAAATCCTCACCTTCCTCTCTAAATCAACAGTTCTCAGAATGGTGTTAAAGAGCCCACCTCATGCTAAGCTTCCTAACAACTGACCGGGTAGGTCAGCAGAAAAAGTTCTAAAACTAGAAAGGAGCAGGAATGAAAGTCTTAAAATTTGTATGCAAACGTAAAAACTAACTTCTACGCCAGAATGACATTCTCTGTCAGAGGTAACAAATACAAAAGTCTTAATTTTAGTGTACACGACGCTAAGATATTGTTAGATAGGTATTATGTGTTGTTCAGAGAATATTTTTTATAAGTGTGCTTTTTCCCTAAAAAAAGAGACATATTAAAGTGTTTTTTCTCTCCTCAAGTCCTTTATGTATAAATATGAAATACAGAGCTGTCCTGTCAGTTTCTTCATCATGTTATACGTTCCGGGGATCCTTTCCGCCTGTGTCGTCTGTGGCAGTTTTGTTGGAGAGGGGTTTGAGTTTGAACAGGCTTGAGCAGTTCGGCTGTTTGGTTGGCTGTAAGGTTTTGGCATACGGTGAATACCAGTCCCTTTCAAACACATCTTTAAGTTGCTTAATGATGCTTCTGTTGTTCCTCACATCTGCCTGGTTGATAACAAGGCCCGTGCCAGCATTCTGAGTGAAATCATTCCCTACCCAATCAAAATTTCCTGCAAACAAACAAAGAAATAATGTTGAGGAGTTAGAGTCCACTGGGAACATACCCAATATAATGAAATTCAGAGTGGATTCTATTAAAAATCATCAACATCCAGGAATAACAACGGAGAGGCTGAATTGTGTTGACAGCTCCGAAAAAAAAATCCAAGAAGCCTTACATATGGCATATTAATATTTGCATATTATTTTGGCATTTTCTTCAGCTTTGCTCCGGTGGAAACTCAAAACAAGGAATCTGCTGTTCTTTCTTGTAAATGTTATTTCTTATTGACATTCACAAGCCACACTAAATACAGCAACATTTAAAATATATAGGGATTCATTTAAAAATCCTGTGAGTAATTACTACCTTCTCAAAGAGACAACATCTAATCCATGTGAACAAATGAGGGATTCTAATTATAAGTCCCTGAAGCTTTCACATCAAAGAAAACGCTGAAGCCAGAGGAGACTCAGTTCCTAACAAACACTCGATTGGACTAGAAATCATTTCCCAGACCCAGGATCCGGCCCCTTGGCCCCAGGAAGTGGGGCAGGTGCTATGAGAACAGCCTCTCAAGTATGACTGCCCGTGTTATGTGGTGTATTCGTGTTTTTAGGGCTGCCATAGCAAAGTTCCACAAATTGGGTGGCTGAAACTACAGAAATGTATTGTCTCACGGTTCTGGAGACAAAATCCAGGTGTTGGGAGGGTTGATTCCTTCTGAGAACTGTGGGGAGGGATCTGTTCCAGACCTTTATCCGTGGCTTGTAGATGGACATTTTCTATTTTCTTTTTATTTATGCTTTTTGGTTCCTTTTTTTAATTTTTAAATAGAGATGGGGTCTTGCTGTGTTGCTCAGGCTGGTCTTGAACTCCTGGGTTCAAGCGATCCCCCCACCTCAGCCTCCCAATATGCTAGGATTACAGGCACGAGCCACTGTGCCCGACATCTCTATGACATTTTCTGTCTCTTCATATTGTCTTCCCTCTATGCATGTCTCTGTCCAAATTTCCCCCCTTTTACAAGGACACCGGTCATATTAGATTAGGGGCCACACTAATGATCTCATTTTAACTTGACGATTTCTCTAAAGATCCTGTCTCTCAATAGAGTTACATTCTGAGGTACTGGGGGTTAGGACTTCAACATATGAATTTTGGAGGGACACGATTCAGCTCATGCAAAGGAGTAAGCCTGGGATCTGCCCTAGAAGAGACTAATCATGTGTATGCCACTCCCATGTAGTCCATCTTCAAGGTGTGGGGGAAGCAGCAGCCTTGGAGAGCTAGAGTAATGCCATTTTCAGTTCAGCTCCATCTTGAGACTAACAAGGCATGTTCCTTGCCAGTCACAACCATGGTCATAGATGTTTACAGTTGAGAAAACAGCCTAAAGATACCCCAAAGGATACAGTCCTACAGCAGTGGAAAGTCCAGATGTCCCAATACCCATAACAGTATGTGCTTTCGGGATAGCTATAGTTATGCTTCGATGTACTTTCACACTAGAATGTCATTACACCAAGAATGTTTTCTTTAAATCGATAGAATAATAAATTTTGTCATGCTGTCAGCTCACTCACACATAGACACAGCTTAGCTTAGCTTTTACATAGATAAGACTCCTATATAAGAAAAACACACCACATCCCTCCACTTGCTTTCTGTGGACGCCCTACTCTGTAGCTGAGTAGCTTTATTCTTCTTTTTCTTTTCTTTTCTTTTTTTCTTTTTTTTTTTTTTTGAGATAGTCTTGCTCTGTCGCCCAGGCTGGAATGCGGTGGTACAATCTTGGCTCACTGCAACCTCTGCCTCCTGGGTTCAAGCAATTCTCTGCTTCAGCCTCCTGAGTAACTGGGATTACAGGAGCCCACCACAATGCCCCACTAATTTTTTGTATTTTTAGTAGAGACGGGGTTTCACCATTTTGGCCAGGCTGGTCTCGAACTCCTGACCTCAAGTGATCCACCCATCTCGGCCTCCTAAAGTGCTGGGATTACAAGCGTGAGCCACTGTGCCGGGCCTGATTTATTTATTTTTAGAGGCAGGATCTCTCTCTGTTGCCCAGGCTAGAGTGCAGGGACCTGACCATAGCTCATTGTAGCCTTGAACTCTTGAGCTCAAGCGATTCTCCCACCTCAGCCTCCTAAGTAGCTGTGAGTACAGGTGCAACCACCGGAACCAGCTTCTACTTGGTATTTATATACATTATTTATATGGTTGGTGGGACTTACTTCCACTTTACAGCTGAGGAGTGGGAGGCTCAAAGGGGTGAATAAATTTGCCTAATCACATGGTTAATCACTGGTGCACCCAGGTCTGCCAGACTGTATGATAAACCAGGAATTATTCTCATTAAAAAATATTTAGCCATGTCAAGGTGGACAAAATTATCTTCGAAATTACCACTAGGCCAGGTCTGATCTAAGCTCCCAGTTTTGTTATCTTCTTTGGGTAAGAGCTGATTCCACAAAGGGAACTGGCAGGCTTTAGGTGGAGATATTGGCCTTCCGTCCCCTCTGCAGCAACTCAGGTTTCGCTGCAGAAATCACTAAGACGCTGAGATCATCTGTCTCCCTGGGCACCCCTGGCCCAAGGGCCCGCAGTCATCTGTGGGAGAAGCTGCTGGAAGAAAGCACATCTGGGAGACAGCCAGTTTCTGTTCCTTTGCAGCTTTTGTATTTTGGTCTCTGCTCTGTATTCTGGAGCCCTCGAACATACCGAGTCCCTTTTCCATTTGGCACCCCTGAGAACATCAGAAGGTGGTTTCTTGTCTCTCATTTTACTCCTAAAGTTTATTCCTCAGAGCCTAAGAACACCAAGTCCCTAAACCAAATATCAGCAGAGAGAGGGACCTGCCCCCTTTTGCTTTATCCTTCTCCCCTCATCCCAACCCATCATCTGCCCCCTCAATAAACAGCACAACGGTACTATCAGTGGCTTCATGATAGACATAGCTTTGGACGAATTTATTTCTGATATAAATTAGTGAACTGTCTTCCAAGTGGTACATAATACTGTGTTGGTGTCGCTGCCCAGAGACCCCCGTGGCCAAGGTGGCGTTCCTGATCGTGTGCTCTTAGACACGTGACTATGTGCAGAGGCTGCA